>NC_000010.11:14100909-14252424 GCF_000001405.40 Homo sapiens
AACTTTGTACAAGTCTTTCGGCATCTCAGAGCCCAAGCTTTTGGGTCCTCACAACGTGTGGGTTGGATGGAGCTGTGATGTTTGGACTTCAGGCCCCAAACTCCAGGGTTTCCCCAAGAACCTCTGACATTCCCTAACCCCTTAGCCCTGAACCACCCCAGGTTTCTACCAAAACGGCTCTGTGTTATCTATTATATGTTTTACCTTTTAAGATTCCCCCATACTATTTCTATTTAAAAACACTTGACTTATAACAAAAAAGTTTGAAAATTTCTGGGCTAGGTGTCTTCTCACCTGTGATTTCATAATCCTCTTGTCAATATTATAGCACATGACGACTGCAGGATCTCCCAGAACTTTCTACAGTGATCCTTCCTGCGGGCAATGAAACTCACAGAATTGGTCTGCAATAATTAACTTTGCTTAGCCACTTCCCAGACTTTTTTCTTAAAATAATTACTTGCTGCGGGGTTAGTCTTACGAGTAGATAAAATAGGACTAGGTAGTCTGCTCCTCAAGAGACCCTAGATACTCACCATTGGCTGAAATTCCACGGACATTCATTTATGCTCTATTCCAATTTAGGTGTGAATTAGTTTCAACACATCTTTTGAGATAGGAGGAGAGAGGGAAAAATAACAGTGGGAACCTAGGGATATAGCACATCAGATGATGGGGAAAATGGTGAAGAAAGGAGAAGAAAAGAAAATTGATGACACGTTCTACTTATGTCATACCTTATCCATATTTGGACCTGGTCTTTATGGTCACCATCTCCATGCTGGTGAGCTTCTACCTTCAAATATGCCTGGCTTCTAACACAACACAACACAACACAACACAACACAACACAACACAACACAACACAACACATCTCTCCTTCTGAATAATGCCCATAAACTCTTCACAGAGCAAAGCACAGAGGTATATTCTCTTCCTCTTCCCTTCCTCTTCATTTTGGGATATCCTCTCAGGAGCATCTTGTCTAATTTTAGACATATCCCCCATCAATTATTGGATGACCATCATTACTCAGTTATTTATAGAACTTAATGAAAAAAATTAAGCTGCTTTTACTGGATTTAAGTCCAACCCGTAGACTACCATGCTTTTTGGGAATAGAAGATGCACGTTTCCACCCAGTTAAGTACCTTTTGGGAAAACGCAGGATGCAAAGGAGCTCAGAAAAAGCTACAAGAAAAGAACACAAGTGAGGTGGTCCATAGATTGGAAGATTCTTTCCTAAATGACGGAGCCTAAGGTTTCCTCACCAGCTGTAAGTCTCCTGGAATACCTTCACAGCATGCAGCTTAATCACATTCAACAGATGCACTGGGCCAGACACGGTGACTCACGCCTGTAATCCCAGTACCTCGGGAGGCCAAGGCAGGCAGATTACTTGATGACAGGGCTTTGAAACCAGCCTGGCCACCATAGTGAAACCCCATCTCTACTAAAAATACAAAAACTAGCCGGGTGTGGTGGCGCAGGCCTATAGTCCCAGCTACTCAGGAGCCTGAGGTAGGAGAATCACTTGAACCCGGGAGGCGGACACATTGAGTAATTCCCTACTTATTTCTCATTCACCCAGCTCTTCATTGCACAGGTATGTCAGGGTGCTCTGGACACAGAGGGCCGAGAACCAAGCCGACCTCCCACAATGCAGTGGTTATCTCACAACCCAAAGTTTGAAACGCTTTGGAAATGAAGGGACTTTTAGTGGGAAGGGATACTTCAGAGAAGCTTTTCCTTGTAAATTCTCTCAATTTTATCCACAGCAAATATCTGAACTTCAAAAGCTTACTCAAATTAGATGGATTTGGCTTCTAGTACAACTTTCTTGAGTCTTGAAGATAGTGAGAAAAAAAAAAAAGTCCTGCAGAAATGAATTGCGAAGAGAAGGGCTTGGGAGTTCTCATTTTGGCATGTAGTCCTTAAAGAGATCTGACAGCTCAATTTTCCAATATGATAGGCAGGAAATATGAAATTAGCTCTCAGTTATATCTGGCACAGTGATTACGTGCATGGGAGGTTTCATGTGGGGCAACCTGTCACAGCCACTTTCTGAAGCTTTATTTTCCTGGAATTGAAAACCCAGCCTATAAGAAATTGAAAGCACTTAGGAGAAAGTTGGAGGGAGGAAAGGATTTACTTTTTGTTCTACGTGGGTGTCGTTCCTATCTAATCTCATAACAGAAGCCTCTCCGTCACATAGGTGCCTTGGCCAACAGCAGGCCCTACTGCTGAAGTGAAGAGATGGCCAGCATCCACCCCAAGATGCTTCATTCTCTTCTCCATGTAAGAAAACATTCATTTTAATCAGATCAGCAATATGCCCATCTAATCTAAAATATTGTACAAATGCATCCTCACTCAGATGTGTTCTGTGACTAAGCTTTACCTAATGGGGTCTTAATAGAAATCTCCTGAAACAGGTAGGGGGTAACCTTCTCTCTCTTTTTCCTACTGCAGCCTGGAATACAGATGTGATGCCTGGATCTCAAGTAGCTATTTGGGGCTGTGAGGTGATCCACTGAGGTTGGTGGAGGAGCAAAATTATACCAGAGGCCTGGGTCTCTGTTGACTACAGAACTTCCAAAACAGCCCTGGATTAACTACCTGCAGACTGTTTTTGTCGCAAAAGAGAAATAAATATCTATCCTGTTTAAGCCACTATCAGTACATCTAGTAAGCATTAGTTTTTTTATTATGTGAAGCTGAATGTAAAATGAACTGATATCATTAGTGTATTTATTTCAAATATCAGGCTCTCATTAGTACATAATTGCTAAGATAAGGCAGCACACTCTAAGGGGCACCTTATTTCACTTGCCCGCCCTATGGCCAGAGTCATTATTGGAATAATTAGTTGGAAGGTCACTGAGATGTTTTTCTTCCCTCCCTCCCTATCATCTATCTTTTTTCTATGACAATGAGTAGAATTTTTTAAACTCTAAATTTCATAAAGATCACATTGAAATGATGAATTTAAAATGGCTGAACCCATCCTAAGCTAAAAGAATTACGTACCGTCAGCGATTCCTACTAAGCTGAAGTCAACCAACTACAGACAAGGTATGGTAAGGTACCAGGTCCTCCTTGCTGTAAATTGGAGCAAATGCTGGCTTAGAGAAAGGTCTTCTCTCATTTTCCCCCCATGTTTTATGTGCTTCCCACATTCCACCTGCCATCGAGGTCTACATCGCCATCAAGGTCTACACTGCCATTGAGGTTACGCTGCCATTGAGGTCTACACTGCCATCAAGGTTACACTGCCATCGACATTACAGTGCCATGGGGGTTACACTGCCACTGAGGTCTACACTGCCATCGAGTTTACACTGCCATGGGGGTTACACCGCCATTGAGGTCTACACTGCCATCGACGTTACACCGCCATCAAGGTCTACACTGCCATCGAGGTTACACTGCCATTGAGGTCTACACTGTGGTGCTCACTTCCCTGCTCTAGATCTCTTACTTTGATTTACACCAGACCTCAGTCTCTGCGCATATAATTGCTCAAGTCTAGAACCCCAATCTACTTCTCTAAGCGGGTTTCCTTTCTTTCCAGATGCTCTACTCCCCAGAAAGGGAAGGTGAGGCCACACAGAGCCTATCTATGCCTTCCTGTCCCTGAGGCTCTACGGTGGCCCCGCTCAGTGGCCCTGGCCCCATCTGTGCTGTAACCCCAGCCCGACCTGAGTAGAAAGGCCAGTGAGACACAAAGCCAAGAGAATTTCCCCAGCCACTCTGGTCTCCACGAGCCAGTCCTGGCACTCAGAATGCTGAGGTTAGAGCAAGGGAAATTGCCAACCTTCGGCCAGTGTGGGCCCATGAAGCTGGCGATTTCGTGTGGTTCAACTTAGTCCTAGAGCTCTCACTGTGTGTGGTTCTCCCATCCAGGGAAAACCAAACCATCTCAGGCAAGCCTAACAGAGCAGCTGCCTTTGAAAGATTCTGAGTTGAGTGTGGTATGGGGGCAGGCCTGAGAAGTGTGCCCTTAGATACCTTCAAGGGCTCTGGGCAGTGTTTGAGGGATCCAAATGAACTCAGTTACACCAAGCTCTCCTCCACTGTGGCAGGACTTCTGGTCACGGGGTCCCCACGCCGCAGGGCCCTTCCATCATCCCAGATCCTTACGCGTGGAGTCTCTCTCATTCTCACAACCTCAGCTTACATGTTCCACTTATTCATCACTGCATCTCTGGAGCCAAGCCTGGACCATAAGAGATGGGTCATTTGAAGAGCTATAGGTCGTAGCTCTTTTCATGGTCACTTGTTTTCTTCAGGCCTCCTGACACCCAATAAATTTATTGTCATTTATAAGCTTGAAAACAATAAGTTTAAGCAATAAAATAAAGTTTGTTAGATGGCTGGGCATGGCGCATCATGCCTGTAATCCCAGCACTTTGGGTGGCCAAGACCAGAAGATCACTTGAGCCCAGGAGTTTGAGACTAACCTGGGCAACATAGCAAGACCCCATCTCCACAAAAACAAAAATAAAAAATAAAGTTTATTAGATATGCATTTCCATATCTTCTCTCTATAAAATTATTAATGGAGTTACTATAAATAATTTTAATGGACTATTATATAAATTAATACATTGTCACTTATAACATTGTAGTTTACATCTCTAAAAGATAGAGATTTAAAGAAAATGACCATAATGCCATTCTTATACAATAATTTCTTAATATTCTAAAATGGTGCTTAGACTTTCCTAATTGTGTGTGTGTTTTTGAAAAAGTTGGTTTGTTTGAAGCAGGTTCCAGATAAGGTCCATAAATAGTGATTGACTGGTATGTCTCGCTTCACTTTTAATCTATAGATTTCCCCAATTTCTTCCTTTTTTCTTGCAAATCTTTTTGAACACACTGGGTCATTTGCTTTTACAGTTTCCTGTAATCTGGATTTTACTAATTGAATCTCTGTGGTGTTGTTTATCATGTTCCTCTGTTTCCTGTATTTCTTGTAAATTTGGCAAGACTACATTATCAGTGGTGGTATCTCCTTCCACCCAGGGTTATATATGTCTGGTTTGCTCTCTTTTTGTGATATCATCATCTGTTGATCTCTGCCTAACTCCATTAATTCTTTAGGGATTGCAAATGTTGTCATTCTTATTCTATCATTCCTATATCATTTATTAGTTAGAATATACCCACAACAGGAAACTCCCCTTTATTCACCAATTTTCAAAATTCACCAATTTTTACCATGCCTAGCATCATCCAAATGTGACTGATGAATTTATTTAAAGCATCATTATTCATTTATGGAGTCAAACAAATTTGATATGTTTCAATTCATCCATTACAGTTTTATCCTAATTTGGGATCAAATTGTCTGACCCCAGGAATAAGAACTATTCAGTTTCTCCTGAATCTGTTTGAAACACTCTTAGTAGTCATTTAATTTCTTTGCTTCCTGGTGTGACCATTTATTTAAGGGGGTTGGTTCTTTTTAGTGGGAAATAGTATCTAGATCCATCACTGGTGAGTGAGGAATACTAATTACTACTGGATTGGTTGTTTCTAGGACTTTGCAGGATACAAAATTGGGACATTTAAAGTATTTTCTTTTAAGTATAAATTAAGTCATACATTTATGCTGGTATTTCCATTTCAAAATCAGGACTAGAGTTTTACACAATCTCATCAATTTCCTTTTTCTCACATGATAAAAATCTGGATCTCAATGTCACCAACACCATTTCTCACTTGCTTTATCCACACTACTCACATGACAGCCTCAGAAAAGCAAAATCACCACTACCAACACCAAAGTGACTGGTAATCATTTCAGATTTTTTTAAAAAGATCTTTCTGTCTTTTGGGATGTATAATGAAATCGCTATGACATAAAAGTTGCTTTGCAGTTTGGAGATTTCTGAAGGAACTTAAAATCGAGCTACCGTTTGACCCAGCAATCCCATTAGTGGATATATACCCAAAATCATTCTAGCAAAAATACACCTACACTCGTATGTTTATCACAGCACTATTTACAACAGCAAAGACATGGACTCAACCTAAGTGCCCAGCAATGGTGGGCTGGATAAAGAAAATGTGGTACATATACACTATGGAATACTATGCAGCCATGAAAAAGATTGAAATCATGTTCTTTGCAGCAACATGGATACAGCTGGAGGCCATTATCTTGAGCAAATTAACGCAGGAACAGAAAACCAAATATTGCATGTTCTCACTTCTAAGTGGGAGCCAAACACTGGGTACTCATGGACATAAAGATGGGAGCAATAGATACTGGAGACTACCAGAGAGGGGAGAGAGGGAAGGGACAAGGGTTGAAAAACTACCTATTGGGTACTATGCTCACTATCTGGCTGACAGGATCATTTATAACCCAAACCTCAGTGTTACACAATATACCTGTGTAACAAACCTGCATGTGAACCCCCAAATCTAAAATAAAAGTTGAAATTGTAATAAAATAAACCAAAAGTTGCTTTAAATAGTTCCTCCCTGTGTGTTTATGCCATCAACCGATGTATATTTAGGATTTTTTAAAAAATATTTAGGAGTTGTTTAAAGTTAACTTTTTAATATTTATGCAACATGTTTATATCATTCTAAATCTCTGAGACAAGATACAGCCAAAGCTCATAGCTTCTATCATTATCTCATTCACTTTGCTGCATCATTTTTCCTGTGGGTACCAGTTAACCATTCTGTGTTTGTGATTGGTGAACTTTGCTGTATTTTAAAAATATAAATAAAAGTGTGTATATATTCATATCTTCCCTTTTCTAGAAAACAGCATATACTTTCTCACCTCACTTTTGCATATAATAATATATCCTGAAAATCACTCTATGGTTGTACATAGAAGAGTTGCTCATTTCTTTTTAGAGTTATGCGATATTCTTTCATGCGGCTGGACCACAACTTATTTACTCAGACACCAATGGATAGACTTTTGGGTTATTCCAGGTTGCTTTTCTTTTGCTATGATAAATAATGCTGCAAAGAGTAGCCTTAGGAATAAGTGTTTTTGTATTTTTGGCAATCCATCTTAGGGGCAGATTTCCAGAAGTGGACCAAAGAGTAAATGCATATGTGATTTTGCTATACATGTTGTCAAATTCCCTTTCATAGAAGCTGTACCTTCTTACATTCCCACCAGCAATCTCTGCAAGTGCCTCATTCTTCACGGTCTCTCCAATAAAATTCATTGCCAACCTGTGGGCTTTTTTTCCCTCTGTAGAGAGAAATGGCATTTTCATGTCGCTTTAATTGGCATTTCTCTTACTATTAGCGAGACCAGCATCTTTCTTAAGTTTCAGCTCTATTTTCAGATAAGTGCATTTTAAAACAACTCATAAGCTATGCATCATCACTTAGCCTTAATTTATGGGTTGTATTTTGTGATACTGATTAAGTGCATTTGAGCAGACTATTCAGCAGATCCTTGGGGGCACTGATCACCAAATCTGTCTGAAGGTTCTAGAAATCTCTTCTACTTTAGGACAGCACACTTGAGAAGTAGTATTATGAGGACTGAGGTTTAAACTCTTTGGCATATCTGGGGTATGTGATTGGAAATGGGTCTGAATTGGAATGTTGCCTTAATGAACATGTGTATACAGCTTCACTATTTACTCAAATGAGAATTCTGTACCAACACAAACCAGATACCTCTTCATCAAGAACTTAACCCAATTAGGGAGTCCTGTTTAGCAAAAAGAAGGACTGGGGAAATGGTTTGCTTAAAATAGCCTTGGAGAAAGAACACACTTAAAGGCTGGGTTTTCGCATAGGAAAAATAAGACAGAGAATTGAAGAATCAATGATATGCCCCTCATATTTGCTAAAGAGATGAAATAGAATGAATTCCTGAAGGGCAGGGATAAAATGAAAAAGGACTGATAGAAGAAAATTACTCCATAGAAACAAAAACAAACTCAATGGGGAAAAGTAGAAAGAGGCAAGAGCAAAATTCCTATGGACTCCTACAATCTCAAAGTCTCTGGCTGCCATGAGACCTTCCCAGATCTTTGTAGGTCATGTAATTTTTCACACTTTTCTGACTTATTGATAAGGTCACCCATTTTTGTACTTTCTTGATAACATTCAATTTACCACCTTATTGTTCATATCCTATCTCTTATTACTTTCTATTTGTTTCACTTACATGAAAGGCTCTCCAAGGGTTGAAGAGCCCAAGAGATTCCAAGCTCCTCACCCTCTGGAAGATTAGACATCTACATAGTTTCTTGACTGAGAAACAAATATGGACTAGGGAGATACTGGTTGAATAAAAGCATCTCAGAAAAAAAAAAAAAAAGCCTCCAAAGAAGCTTCTCAGAAGAAGCAATGGGTGAGATATTGTACCCTGAAAAACCTGAGAAGGAATCATTCATTTGTTCTCTTCCATAGTCAGTTCCTTAGTAGACCATAATTTCCAGTTTGTTTCACTGTTGGATGAAAGTTACAAAGAAAGTGAAAGTTCTGCAAAGAAGGAGAAGAGAGTAGCAAAAGAATGTAAAATGAGTGTTACACGAAAAAGGCAACAGATATATAGTTGTTTCTTTTAAAGGACATAAAAATAGAGTGTCCCAATTGCTGTCATCCCCTGCACTTAAATTTGAACATATTCTCCTGCCGCAGAACAAAATACATAATCCAGTGTGTTTCCCTTTGTGTCTAAGCTGCCAGAAAAATTGGAGCAAAATTCATCAAGAATTTGTGTCAACTTCTCAATGTAATGCCTAGAAGTTTACATTATTTCCAGTTCTTAAAAATGCTTTGACCAGGTTCGGTGGCTCACGCTTGTAATCTCAGCACTTTGGGAGGCTGAGGTGGGCAGATCACTTGAGGTCAGGAGTTTAAGACTAGCCTGGCCAACATGGAGAAACCCTGTCTCTACTAAAACTACAAAAATTAGCCGGGTGTGGTGGCGGGCGCCTGTAATCCCAGCGACTCAGGTGGTTGAGGCAGGAGAATCGCTTGAACCGGGAGGCAGAGGTTGCAGTCAGCCAAGATCACGACACTGCACTCCAGCCTGGGCCACACAGCAAGACTCCGTCTCCCTCCCCCAAACCCACCAAAAAAAAAAAAAAGTAAAAAAGGTTTTCAACTCGGGAGGCTGAGGTGGGAGGATCACTTGAGCTCAGGAGGTCAAGGCTGCAGTGAGCTGAGATTGCGCCACTATATTCCAGGCTGGGCAACAAAGCGAGATGCTGTAAAAAAAAAAAAAAAAAAAAAAGCTCTTTTCTTTATTTTTAAGTGTTTTATCCATGAGCCATAGAAAATACTACAGATGTGGTTAAAAAAAAAACAAGTATGCATACACAAACTGCTGTCCAATATAGAAGAAGGATTTTATAAAAAGGTCATCCAAAACTTTGTCTAGTTTAGAAGATCAAATAAGGAGAAACTGGTTCATGAAAATAATGAAAAGAATTCACTCAAAAGAAAAAAAATTCCTTCTTGCCCATGATCAAATGTGGAAACGGGGGTGCTGACACGGACATCCCTGTCTTTGAAAACAGCAAACTTGAGAGATTTTATAAATTGTAAGTGATCTGTAAGGCTATTCTCTTTTATAATTATTCAAGATGAGAATGCAGAAATAAACATTCGGGACAATGGAGGCATTCACCCATTTATTGAGACGGCAAGACTGGAAGATACTCCAAAAAATGGTCCATCTAGTCACCTGAAATATATTAGAGCAGCTTTCTTGCTAACAAAACAAAACAAAACAAAACAAAACAAAACAAAAACCTGTAAATTCCTTGTTATCTGAAAACCACTGCAGAGGCATTTTTCTTCTGCCACCATTGAAATGTTTTAATCTGCCAAACATACCTCAGAATTCTTTCACAAGCAGTTACTTTTTTCTTTTTAATGGTTATTTAAATTTTTTAGTTCTGTGTATTTTATTTTATTATTATTATTTGTTTTAGAGATAGCGTCTCCTTCTGTCACCTAGGCTGGAGTGCAGTGGTGCAGTCATAGGTCACTGCAGCCTTGAATTCTTGGGCTCAAGCTATCCTGCCTCAGCCTCCCAAGTATCTGGGACTAAAGGCATGCTAAAAATTTTTAAGAAATGTGAGAAAGTACACATATCATAAAATTTACCTTCTTTATTTTTAAGTTCAGTAGTGTCAATTACATTTATGTTGTTGTACAAGTAATCGCCTAAACATTTTCATCTTGCAAAACAGAAATTTTGTATCCGTTAAACAATTATTCCCTCTCTACCCTAGCTTAGCCCCTGATAACTATCATTCTGCTTTCTGTCTCTGCGAATTTGACTCTTCTAGGAATTCATGTAAGTGGAATCCTACATTATTTCCTTTTATGACTGGTTTATTTCACTTAGCATAATGTCCTCCAGGTGCACAGGCAATATTCTACCCTCGATTTATTTATTCTGCTTTTTAAAATCATGAGTCTGTCTATGCCATGGGTTTCCCTGAGGCATGGATCCACTGAGAATGATGAAATAACATCCCAAGCTGTGATTTGGCTCAAGGCTTTATTGTTGCCATTGGACAGTTATAAAATGCCCAGATGTTTAGCTCAGGAATTACTTCACCTTACACAGTCCTCTACCCTGCAGGGATAGCTAAGCTTGCAGCACTATGGTTAGGGAAAGATCAAAGTACAGAAGTCATTAAGAATGAATTTTAATAAAATTAATCCATCAATTCACTGTGGATTAATTCATCCACAATGAATTCATACATATAAGAAATGTCTATGAAACCTACCTACTATGGGCAATGCATTACGTCATGTACCAAAAAGAATAAGCCATGATCCTGGCAGGGAGAAATCTTATTGAGAGATTAGGTAAATATATTTTTGAGTAGCATAAGAGGTGGTTACAGGATTTTATGACTAACTGACAAACTAATGACAAAAAATTAAGTGGTGTGTGCTGTGGAGGGGGAGGACATCCTGCAGGGCAGGTGGAGGAGGGAGTAGGATTCACCCACAGCTCCTAATCCATTGTAGATACTCCATGATTATGGAAGGAAGGAAGGAAGGAAGGAAGGGAGGGAGAGGAGGGGAGGGGAGGGGAGGGGAGGAAGGCAGGGAAGGAAGGGAGGGAAGGAAGGGTGGGAGGGAGGGAGGGAAAAAGACAAACAGAATGATGAAATAGCTTTATGGCCCAGGGAATAGAGTGAGCAAATGCTTGGTGTTGAGAAAATGCACAATTAATTTGAGAAACGGTGAGCAGACTCATTTGTCAGAAGGAAGGGTAGAAACACAGAAAGATGTTGGTAAGGGGGCCAGCCATGGAATGTGGCCCAGCTGGGGAGGGCCCAGAGCAGTCAAGTCCATGTTTGAATTTAATTCTCTAAGTAATTAGGAGCTGTGTAGATCAGTGAGCAGCAGTAACATGATTAATGTGGCATTTTAGGAGGATTAATCTGGCAGGTGTGCCTGATGGAGGAGCACAGAGGAGAGGGTAGAAGACGAGAGAGCAGTTTGCGGCGGTCTCGATGTGGTTGTGTCTATTTTCTTGCAATTTATTTCAAAAGAATAAAATAGCTTTCAAGAGATAACAATAGCTCCACCAGGACCTCACCCATCTTCACACTGGGCTTTGCTTATAGGAGGGAATGATTAAACTTTCTTCCTTTTTTTGAGATGGAGTCTCACTCTGTAGCCCAGGCTGGACTGTAGTGGCGCCATCTTGGCTCACTGTAACGTCTGCCTCCCAGGTTCAAGTGATTCTCCTGCCTCAGCCTCCAGAGTAGCTGGGATTATAGGTGTCTGCCACCACATCTGGCTAATTTTTGTGGTTTTGGTACGGACGGGGTTTCATCATGTTGGCCAGGCCGGTCTTGAACTCCTGACCTCAGGTGATCCGCCTTCCTCGGCCTCTCAAAGTGCTGGGATTACAGGCATGAGCCACTGTGCCCGGCCCCCTGATTAAACTTTTTTTCTTTCCAAATTCAAAAGGAAACTATGCTTCCAACTCCCCCTTCCCTCAATGTGTGTAATTATTACAATTACAGTGACAGACAAAGAGGTTATTAAATAATGGCTCGGTGTAAGTGTGGGTTAAGAGTGAAACACTCACTGAGAGGGCAGTCCTGAGCAGCCTGGAGGAGAAGGAGCTTGGGGACCTAGTACAGGTTCGGACTGGAATCCCCTACAGAGTTGTATTCTGTGGACTTAGGAGAAAACCAGCTCAAAGAATCCTGCCTGGTGTGCTGATTTTCATTTCATTTGTCATCATTATTATTGTATTTTCAAAAATAGATATACATAGATACATCGTTTAAAAGTTATACAGTTGACTCTTGAACAATGCGGTTGAGCTGCCAGGGTCCACTTACACGTGAATTTTCTTCTGCCTCTGCCATTTCTGAGACAGCAAAACCAACCTCTCCTCTTCCTCCTCAGCCCACCCAACGTGAAGATGAGTAGGATAAAGGCCTTTATGATGATCCAGACCCACTTCCACCTAATGAGTAGAAAATATATTTTCTTCCTTGCAATTTTCTTAGCAACATTTTCTTTTCTCTAGCTTACTTTATTGTGAGGATAAAGTATAGAATGCATAGAACATACAAAATATGTGTTAAGTGGCTGTATGTGTTATTGATAAGGCTTCTGGTGAAGATCAACAGTAGACTATTAGTAGTTAAATTCTGGGGGACTCAGAAGTTATACCTAGATTTCTGACTGAAAGGGGTATCAATGCCCCTAACCCCTATGTTGTTCAAGGATCCACTGTACATAAAAAAGCCATTTTCAGAAATTATTTGTTGCTTATTTCTTCAAGTTATCCAAATCGAAGGCTATTTAGTAACACTCTAATTGGTCAAAGGCTATTGTAAAGCCCTATTTGGAAATGCATGAGTGTGCGCGCGCGTGTGTGCGTGTGTGTGTGTGCTGCCATTGTTCTCTTCTTCCTCTTCTTTCTCCTCCTTCTCCTCCAGCAGGTTCCTATTATTGAAAAGCACACCTTTATCTGTACCTGAATAATCTGGGAGTCACATCTCCGAGCCTCTGCTGCTCTGCATCCCACCTCACCCCCAGCCCATCCTATCGCCAAGGATGCGAGAGCTACTGTGAGTCGGCCAGACTCCAGCAGGGCATAGCCTTGGCCTGCAGTCTCAGTAGGGGGTGCCTTCAAAGGCTCAAGCACACGTACTTGTGGGTATGGCTGCTTTTGGAAATTTTGTCTTCTCCCTGTGGCTTCTCTGAAAGGTCACTCACTGCCGACTGTGTGCGCCAGCAAAAGTTCTGGGAAGATGGCTTGGGCTAGTTTCCTGCAGACTTGGGTGGATTCATTCCCAATTCCTTTTGGTTATTTTCCTCAGGCTCTCTTCTTTGTGAGTAAGCTCTGGCCTTTCCACCAGCCAGGTCCTACTTCGGAGACACAGGTAGGGCTTAAGGAGCCTCATTTGAGCCAGCTGGGGTCCCAGGGCTCACTTCCATTGATTTCAAAAACCCCAGGAAGAGCCAGCGGAAAGGGCATATACCCATGCTCCAAAGCTTCTGTCCATCATTTGGAAGATGGTTCTTCAAGTCTTCACTTGGAATGGATTTATTCCTATTTTTAGCCATAATTCTAATAAGCCCATTTTTCCGTTTCCTCAATTCTCATTCATTTACCACCTGTAATGTAGGAGAGGAAGACCCAAAAAGAGCAGAAAGGAATGACCACTGCAAATTTGACAATGAGGGAGGGGCGTGGAGGAAGACTCAATGCAGAGATGGCGGCCAGAGAATCACTCCCTAAAACCCCAGCTATCAGATGAAAGAGAGAATGGCCCAATGCCTCTTTGGGGTCAGCTGACATTTTTTTGGAGAAATTTGAGAGGTACCAAACAGGGAAGAAATCTGGGTGTCTAGGCTTAAGCCCCTTTCAGAGAGTTTCAGAATCCTGCAGATCCGCTGGTAGGCATCTCAGCCTGCAAAATCCCATTTAAGCTACTGGGATTAGCACATGCTGAGGGGTTCAGCACTGGATCCATGCCGGCCCTCTGCATACTGAATGCCAAAGAGCAAGTTGTGAGTGGATGTGGGAGAAGGTACTGAAGTACTGTAGGAGGAGAAAGAATGGGATAGAAAGAGTGGGCACACAGTGACATAAGACATGACTGCCTACCTGCTACCCATACACTCACTCCCCCACCCACCAAGCAAGCCTCTTAGACCACCTAGGATATTCCAGAGACTGTGCTGTGTTCTAAGGAGACCAAATGAGAGCCTGTCCCCTGGAAGCTTGCAGTCTAGAGCAGGTCACCTTCAAAATCCAATGTGTGTTTTATAGTAACAGCACACCTCATTTCAGAGTCACTCTGCAAGTGACAATAGACACCTGTGCTGATGGCTACTGCCTTGCACGCTGCAGGTATAGGCAAATCTGGCTATTCCTTGATCACAACTAATGCAAAAGTCCCAGGCCATCTGTGGTTGGCCTCTTATCACTTATTTCATAGCTCTCACAAAATCACAAATATATACGAAAAATAATAATTACTTTTCCCTAGTTAGCTATACTATGACTAGTCTTAGAGTCTTCTTCCCAGAGATGAGGATATTGCTTATATAATTGTTCTCCTCTCCCTTACTCATAGACATTGATAAAGTTTGGATATTTGTCCCCTTTTAATCTCATGTGGAAATGTGACTCCCAGTGTTGGAGGGAGGGCCTGGTGGGAGATGTTTGGATCATGGGAAAGGATCCTTCATGAGTGGTTTGGTGCTGTCCTTGGGGTAATGAGTGAGTTCTCGCTCTTAGTTTGCACAAGAACTGGTGGTTAAAAAGAGCCTGGTACCTCCCTCCCCGCTCTCTCTTGCCATGTGACATCCCTGCCCCCTCTCCATCTTCCACCATGATTGGAAGCTTCCTGAGGTCTGCACCAGAAGCAGATGCCAGTGCCATGGTTCTTGTCTGCAGAACCAGAATAAGCCTCCTTTCTTATAAATTACCCAGCCTCAGGTATCTCTTCATAGCAATGCAAATGGACTAAGACAGACATCAACTTAAAACTCCACTGAGCTCCTTGGAAGCCCACACCCTTAACTATCAGCATTGCTGGCTGTATAGCATTCTCTGAAAGAAGCATTGCCCATAATAAACACTCAATAAATAGCTTTCAGTGAATGGCTGAAGAAGTAGTTGGCAAGCATCATTTTCAAGGCACTAGGAAAACAGGACCAATATTCAGAAACACATCAGATCATGCGTGCCTTAGTTGTTTTTCTCCTCGGGCTATTGCACCTTCTGTGCATGCAAATGGAAGGGTTGGTTATGAAAATTGCATGCCTTGCATCATTACTCTGTTCTATTAGAAACCAGACCCGAAAGAAACACAGGGACATGTTTCACTTCAGAAACGTGTGTAGCATATGTTAGGAAGCCCTGGAAACCGCCACGACAGTTTATTGTTCACCTCGGATTCAAGCGAAGAATGCACACTGGTGGGTGGTTTTTGCATGTTCATTCCTCTGTTAAGATCACATTGAGCCCATTGGAATGGGTGGATTGAACAGAAATAATGCAGTGTTTTATTTCTTGTGTATTCTACCTTGGCTGAAAGCAGATACGGAGAGTTACCGCCAACCTTTGCTTGCCTTGGGGTCCACCAAGTTCTGATGCTACAAATGAAAAAGGCTTGACAGCTGAGATGGCCATAGGGGTGGAGGAAGCCTTACAATCACAGGGTCTGGGGGCTAAAAGGAGACTCAGTGGGTTACAGAACTCAGCTTCCTCACCACGGAGAGACCCCATTTATAGCAGCTTTAAAAACAAGCAGTAAACAAATGCCATGTTATAAAAATACTTGCCCAGTCCCCTGGCCCTCCATAAATAGGACAGTGAACTCAAACCAGCACCTGACATAATTTATCTTCACCTGCCATAATTTTTCCTTGCTTCCAGAAGAGAGGAAATGGCTATTGGCCTAGCAAAGCTACACCATCCAAAGAAGAGGTATCTAACTTCCTGTTATGTTACATCTGTCTTGGTGCTGAAATTTACTTGTGCTTTCTTGGTTTGTTTTTGGTTAAAAGCAGGGCTCTGTGGCCATTGGGAGAATGTCCCTAGCAGACCTCCTGCAGCAGAGCTCATCACTGATTGAGGGCCCAGGGCTATGCATTGAAATGCATCTCTGTGCTTGCACTGAGGCCCTGCCTCCTGTGGGCTGTTCCATGTCAGTGACTGAGTACAGCAGAGATACCTAAGGTAGCTGATTCCTGGAAGACACTGGCATTTCCCCTACTAAAATCCTTGCATGAGGAAGTTTGTCTTGGTGTCTTCTTGGAGGACCCAGACTAACATGGACTCTATTCCATGAATCCAGAAGAAGGCAAGAGTCCATCACAAGGCAGAGCCTGAACAGAGCCTAGCATGTGACAGGCACTGAAGAAATATTTACTGAATGAATGAGAGAGCCTCCAACAGCTAATGAGGTGGCCCTAGCAAGGAGGATGGATCTTTTTATAAAATTGTACAAGCAACAACCTGTTGGCCTCCCATCATTGGGACCAGTGCCCTCTACTTCTGAGCTAGCAGGAGCCCCATTTCCTAGAAGTTGATAGGGGTTTCTCATGTCATGGAGATGCAGACTCTGGGTCTCTGAGATTCTCACTTAGAATTTAGCAGCCTGCTTCATTGAGCTCAGGGTTCCCAAAGCATCAGACAATGAGAAGAGAAAGGAGGCCCCAACCAAATGGCAGCATTGCTAGGTGAAGGCTGAAGGTCACTAGAAGCAAGATAGGCTGGTCACCTGTGGGAGAGAGAAGGTGGAAGGAGGGTGGAAGGAGAATGGAAGTAGAGTTTGAAGAGCTGGCTACGTTCATTCATTCAGTCAATATTTCTTGTGTACCTGTCACGTGCTAGGTGCCTTTCAGGCCGTGCCTTTTGATGGACTTTTGCCTTCTTCTGGGTGAGCAGAAAGGAGTCCTTGTGAGTGTAGGTCCTCCAAGAAGAACTGAATTGCAGCACAATTTCAACATGGGCAATATGGGCACCTATACTTGCAGAGAGGTGTTTATCTGTCCCTAGAAAGTACCCTCGTGCCTCATGGGGACACATTTAGGGTCACCTGGAAGCCTAGGACCATTGTCTTTTCCTGGCTACGGAAGTGTGGCCCTGTTTAGAGGATGGGGTGAGGCCTGGATGCCAAAATTACCCAAGCAGTCAGCGCAGACCCTGCCACATGGTGATATTTTAAAAGACTGTGAAATTGCCAAAGAATTTAAACTCCAAACCTCCATATGAGTTTGACCAAACACCTACTAAACTCTAATCTCTGGAGCTGAGGCCCAGGAATCTGAATTTTAACAAGCACCTTGGAGATTCTGGCCTCTCAATGTTGCCTCCACTGCCAGAGTTAAAGATGCCATGCTTGGCAACCTTAGGTGAGAGAGAGCCGTTCTTGGTAGCACACTGAAAAGGTGAGAGGTCACAGAGAGTCTTGGGGGACCCAGACTCTGTAAATTTCTGCAGAAATTTGATGGAAGGAACTTCAGTCACTGGCCAAATAGAATCAGAAACCCCAGGATCTTCTTCCCCTGAATGCCCAGAGTCTTGACTTACAAACTTTTGTTTTCTGGCACAGGCATTCAGTGGTGGGACTTTGGGCATCAATTCCTGGCTATATTCGGCTGTTCTCACACTGCTAATAAAGGCATACCTGAGGCTGGGTAATTTATGAAGAAAAGAGGTTTAATGGACTCACAGTTCCACATGGCTATGGAGGCCTCACAATCATGGTGGAAGATGAAGGAAGAGCAAAGTCATGTCTTACACAGTGGCCGGCAAGAGAGCTTGTGCAGGGGAACTCCCATTTATAAAACCATCAGATATCATGAGACTTATTTACTACAACGAGAACAGTACGGGGGAAACTGCTCCCATGATTCAATTACCTCCCCTTGGCCCCACCCTTGACATGTGGGGATTATTACAATTCAAGGTGAGATTTGGGTAGGGACCCAGCCAAACCATATCACTGACTATATAACCCTGAATCCCCACAACTCTCTGGCTCTCTTGGAAATTCCATGACCTCCTGAGTGACCTACCTTTTAATGAATCTCCTTCCTGCACAGCCAGCCAGATGTATTTCTCCAGGGATGAGCTAAGAACCCCAACGGCCTGAGTAGGCCTTTGTTGGAGGAGGTCTTAGTTTCCAACTGAGCATGCAGATCAAGGAGGTGGCCATGAGTGGTGCCAAGGAACACAAGAGTCACCTGAAAGCACTCAGGGCAGGCCAAGTGAGCCCTCAATGCAGAGGGTGATAGACACAGCAGAGGGTGACTCATTTCCGTCCCTGCTGGCACCTGGGCTGCAGCTTCTGTGAATGAAGAGGTGTTAGAACAGCACCTATCGGGAGCATCCTTAGGCCAGAATGAAGAGGTGCAAAGTGAGCGGTTCATATGCTCAAACAAGCCTTAAAACTACACCTGCAGTAACAGAACCTGTTACCAGCAGGAGACGGAATGGTGGGGCCAAACCCCAGGTACCTGAACGAGGAGAAGGGACAGAGTGAAATGCCTTGATGTGCAGATATAACGTTCCCCTTCCTAAGACGTTCATCTAGGAATGAAGCCTGGGCTGCTGATGGTGATGTTTGCCGTAACACATTGGCAGCATTTGGAAGCAGATCAGGGAGCAGTAGTGAGGTTATCGCAACACCAAGCTTCAAATCCACCTGTCCCTTTTGCATGCAGAATGTCAGGATCTGTGATTAATGGAGGCCTGTAGCCCAACAAATGAGAGGAGGTGTCATTGTTTGGGCTGCTCTCTGCTCTGATTAAATAATTAATCACTCCCTAATTATGAAAGACAAAACTTTGCATCCTGCCCCACAGACCTTCCAAGGGACTTATTTGGGGAGTAACAATTTAGAGGAGATGTGATTTCCAGCTTCTCAGAAAGCCCATGGCCAAGCAAGGCTGAGGGAATATGTGGAATGTGCATATCCCTCTGTTAGGTAATGAGTTCTCCAGGGCAGAGCAGGTGACAGCTGTTCCAGGACTATAAAATATGGGTTAATTTGAAGCAGCTTGCACCTTGATTCTTGCAGACTTACAAAGGACACTTTAGGGAGGAAGTTCAATGTCATCTGCTTTTTTTTTTTTTTTTTTTCCTGGGCAACTAGGCATGAGGATGACAGGTAAGTGTGTGGACAGAGCTATTTGCATCTTTTCTTGCCAGGATGGGCCTGACAATGGGTCCACTTCCTTCCATCTCCCAGGAGATAGGCAAATCATCAGGAATTATATTCCTTTATACCTCCATCATCCCTGACACCACCATTCGGCCTACCGACATCTGTTTCCCAAGCCGAGTTCCTCCATCCCTTTACGTACACTGCTTTTTTTTTTCTGAAGTCTTGAGCCTTCATATGTCCCTCTGCCTAGTTTATTTCTTTCTTAGGTCTAAACTCAGTTCAGTGTCACTTCCTTCAGGAAGCCTTCCTTGAGTTCCCTGCCTGATGCCAATACCCTCTCCCATACTCCCAGAGCACTTATGCAGGTTGCTTCCCTCTAGATGCCAAGCTTCTTGGTATTTTAAGTTCCTCCATACAGCAGCTGTTAGCAAATGTTTGCTGAATGAATAAATGAACACATGGATGTATAAATCAATCTTATTCACTACTCAGTAGATTATTAATTCGTTGAATGAATAAATGAACAATGTGAGCTAAACGTTTCCAGAGAACTATGGTAGAGACTGGTGGCTGTTCCCCAAACCTTCTTCCTGAGCATGCATTTTCCACCTTTCCTTGCAGTTAGTGGAGGGTGAGGGGGAAAACCTGGGATCACTTCTAGTTTTTTGGGGAGCAGAGCCCTCCCTGCTGCTTTGATTTTACGTGAGTGAGAAATAAACATCTATGACATGCAGACACTGAGACCCAGGGGGCCTGTCTGTTACAGCAGCTACTCTTGCCTTAACCAGCACACAACCTGCTAGCTGCAAAGCCTGTCTCCTGGCTGATGTCCCTTCACATGGCACTGAGGTGTGGGCATCTTGGCTGGCTGTCAGAGAGCAGCTTTGCTCTCCTCCCTGACTGGAAAGCAATGGGATTTAAGAGCAGTTTTCTGGGTGTGATCTTACCCTGCTGTAACCTAGATCAGTATGCCTCACCCTGTCATGTACTTTATCCCTGTAATGTACATATGAATCACCTGGGGACTTTGCTAAAACACAGATTCTGGCCGGGTGTGGTGGCTCACACCTGTAATCCCAGCACTTTGAAAGGTTGAGTTGGGTGGATCACCTGAGGTCAGGAGTTCAAGACTGGCCTGGCCAACCTGGTGAAACCCCGTCTCTAGTAAACATACAAAAGTTAGCCGGGCATGGTGGCGTGCACCTGTAGTCCCAGCTACTTGGAAGGCTTAGACAGGAGAATTGCCTGAACCTGGGAGGCGGAGATTGCAGTTAGCCAAGGTCGCACTACTGCACTCCAGCCTGGGCAGCAGAGTGAGACTCTGTCTCAAAACAGAACAAAAAACAAAAAAACCAAAACAAACAAAAAACACAGATTCTGATTCAGTGGGCCCAAAATGGGCCTGGAAATTTTGCATTTCTAACAAGCCACCAGGTGATGCTAATGTTGCTTATTCACACACCACGCTTTGAGGAGTAAGAGTTTAAAAGAGGGGCTATCAGCTACAGTCACCTGTTACCTGGAGTGAATGCCACTGAGAGGTGTGAAAGGGCAAAGCAACATCCCTGGAGCAGGTCTCAGAATCCCAGAAGGCTGGTCTCAAACAGGTCGCTCCCTCCTCCCCTGGAACTTCTGATTTTACTGGTCGGGCCTGAAAACCTGCATCTCTCACAAGCCTAAGAGCATGTCGATGCTAGCATTCCAGGGACTCCTTGCTGAAAACCATTGGCTTTAGGGTTGACAGCGTGAACTTGGGGGCCATTCCGGCTGGCTTTGAACCTAGGCTTTCCCACCTACAACTCTGAACTCTGGAAACTAACAAGTTACTTACACTCCTCATGCCTCCATTTTCTCATTGGTTAAATGGAGAGGATGCTAGTGATGGTGTTCACATGAGAAGGTTGCAGTAAGGATTATGCCAAGATATGGAAAGCCTGTGTCTGGCACAGAATGGTTTTCTACTAGCATTAGCTAGTGCTGTTACACTATTAGAAAGTGCACCTGTAGATGTTAGAGAGACTTAGGTTCTAACTTTAGCTCATCCCCTAACAACGCTGTCTCTGAGCAAATTACCTAACCTCTCTAAGCTGCATTGTCTCCATTTGTTAAATGGAAATCAAAGCCTTTGCTTTGTAAAGGATGTTGTGGGGATTAAACGAGAAAATGCATATAAAGCATCACATAACACAAAAGTAGCCATTGCTAAAATCAATTACAACAAGACTGACTTCTGGCAGATTGACATATGTTCTTGCCCTGCCATAAAAAGCCACCAAGCTCACAAGGTTTTTTTTATACGTAAAAAACGTTTTTAATTGACAAATAATTGTACATACTCATGGGGTGTGTATTAGTCTAGTCTCGCATTGCTATAAAGAAATACCTGAGATTGGGTAATTTATAAAGAAAAGAGGTTTAATTGCTTCCTGGGTCTGCAGGCTGTGCAGGAAACATAATGCTGGCATCTGCTTGGCTTCTGGGGAGGCCTCAGGAAACTTACAATCACGGCAGAATGTGAAGCGGGGAGCAGGCATATCACACGGGTAGAGAAGGAGCAAGTGGGGTGGGGGGTAGGGGAGGGCTGCTACACACTTTTAAATGATTAGTTCTCGCGAGACCTCACTTACTATCATGACCAAGGTGGATGGTGCTAAACCATTCATGAGAAACCACCCTCATGAACAAATCACCTCCCACCAGGACCCACCTGCAACATTGGGGATTGCAACTGAACACAGGATTTGGGTGGGGACACAGATCCAAACCATTTCAGGGTTTATAGCGATGTTTCAATACATATACTGTATAGTGATGAGATGGGGATAATTAACATATCCATCATCTCAAACATTTATCATTTCCTTGTGTTGGGAACATTCAGTATCTTCCTTCTAGCCATTTGAAACTGTTTAATATATTGTTGCTAACTATCATCATCCTACAGTGGTATAGAACACTGATACTTATTTGATGATTATAGAAGCTGGGGAATGAATATAAGGAACTTCATTATACTATTCTATTTTTGAATATATTTGGAAATTTCAATATTAAAAAACCTTTTAAACTATTTGCAAAAAAAACAAAAAAACAAAAAACAAAACAAAACTAAAACCACCGAGGCTGCATGACCCTTGCAAGTTGCTGAGGTAGGCAGTCAGCTGGAGCGAAACTGTTGCAACATTTCTTGTATATTGAGAGGCCGCGAGTTTGAGCCACTCCTGTTAGTTCGAACCAGTCCTGTTCCCAAGACTCCCTGCAGGCACAGGCTTGGCCATCATTCCAGCTCTGCCCCAGCAGTATTCCTTCATGCCAGCATCTTTGGGTTTCTGGATGAAGTTTTCAGCAACTGCATAAAATTCCATTTCTCTTGCCAGCTGGGCAAGAGATAGCTTCATGAAAACAAAGCCAGAATACATGGGGCCAGAAAACTCCTAGCCTTCTTCCTGCATAGGAAAACTGGATTTCTCTAGAAGGCTCAAGCTCCTGGGTAGAGCTCCTGGGCCACTTAATTGGGCAGTCCCCCATCTTTGTTTCTGGTAGTGAAGGGGCCCAGGTTGGTCTCCTTTCTAAGTCTCTATACACAAAGCCCTTCTTCAGTGGAAAAGTCTTGACATATACTAGAAGTCTCATTCACCTTTCAGAGCCTTCAAGAATCCTGATGTGCTTTGACTCCTGTTCCTGGGAGAGGCCACAGAACTGTTCTGGAGCTGAAGTTCAAGTTCAAATATCCATCACTGTTACTAAGCCTTTACATAGCATGTTATTTGTTTCCAGCGGGCTCCGTGGTCACTTAAGCTTGCTTGTATCTATCTAAATGGAGTGTTTTTCACCCTCATTTAGGTAACGTCTTGCACCTTTCATACTGAGATTGGCCATTTTATTTGCAACTCATTCTGCAACCCATTTGCTCCTCCAATGTCCCTTATAAGGATGCAGAGGATTCCGTAAAATGCCACAGAGACCTGCGTTTAGGGCAAATATTTGATCAAAAGTCCACCAACTCACATGAGTAACACTTCTGGCAACCTGTGCAATGCTGGTACAAAGTAAATGAAACTGTCCTGAGCAGGTGTTACAAATGCCCTCCCTGAGAGTCTCCAGGGCCTCTTTATTCAAGCACAGCAGTGTGGTCCAACCAGATCAGAGTCAGGAGACACAAGTTTTAATTCCAGCTTTCTCAAAATCTCCTTTTGTGAGCTTAGACATAATTACAGCACCTGGGTACTAAACACCTCTGTTCCAGGTGCCATGATCATTGCCTGAGTTGTAATTCTCGCAGCAGCCCTGCAGGATACCTGCTATTACCCCCATTTCACAGATAAGCAAACTGAAGCTCAGACGAATTTAAGTGGGCCGGACACGGTGCCTCATGCCTGTAATCCTAGCACTTTGGGAGGCCGAAGCGGGTGGATCACCTGAGGTCAGGAGTTCGAGACCAGCCTGGCCAATATGGTGAAACCTCATCTCTACTATAAATACAAAAATTAGCCGGGCATGGTGGTGGGCACCTGTAATCTCAGCTACTCAGAAGGCTGAGGCAGGAGAATCTCGTGAACCCAGGAGGCGGAGGTTGCAGTGAGCCGAGATCATGCCACTGCATTCCAGCCTGGGTGACAGGGCAAGACTTTGTCTCAACTACAACAACAACAACAACAACAAAACAAAACAAAAATAAGAATATAAGTGGCTCAATCTGTAACAAGTGGTACAATCAAGATTGCAACCCAGGGGTGACTGATCACCAAACGGGATTGTATCCAGCACTGCATTACCTTTCCTGGCCTCATTTTTCTCACCTGTAAAAAGGCATGTTTAGAGTGTGTGTAATTTTTCACCTCTAGCTGAGCCCTTCCTTGGTGACCCATGATAACACCCATGAGCAACTACATATGGTTACAGACAGCATTTGGAGAAGGACAGAAAGACAGAAGATAGTGCTTCCTTTGACAACGTCAATTTTTCAGTGCATGAAGCCCTGTGTAGTGCTGTTTTCTAGCTTCCCCTTTACAAATGAGGTCGACGAAAGTAAAGTTAATGAAGCAACTCAGCTATCACCGGAATGCAGCAGAAGTAATCAAGTCCAGGACTAAGGGACAGTTGCCATGACATCCCAACGCATGCACCATGATCACCGTCGATGACTATGCTCTTCTCTGATTGATGGCAGCTTGCCTCTCTGTTCTTGTAAGCAAATGTGATAACAATATTAAACAATTACAAGTAGTGTCCCCAGCTGCTTCTCCACTGCCTTTGAAATATTATTTTAGATCTGCCAAAATAATTGCAAACCCATTAACATGGAAGGGGGTGCGTGTATCCCTGCCCTCCTGAGTAGTACATTCACCCAAAGACAACAGGATGACAAGCCTCCTTCCAGGACATTCAGAGACACAGTCACCCTGCCAAGCAGACTGAGACTTGCAAAGGTCCAATACCCTTTTTAAGAAGCTTGCTGGATGACCTCTTTAAACATACCAGCATGAAGAAGAGGAACAATCTGGGTGAGAGGGGCGTTTTGCCTGCTCTAAGGTTAGAATGCAACTTGTTCACCAAAGTGTGGTTATCTGACCTCCACAATGCTGGAGCCCAGCTAAATCCTGCAAATGTGTATCTACCACTGACTATGGAAAAAACAATAATGTGCTGTGGGGAATCCAGTCTCTCTCTCTCTCACACACAGACACACACACACACACACGTGCACACTCATGCGCACGCGCACACATACACGGCTCCTGCTATCTCGGAACTTCCAGGCTGATAAGGAGAAAGTGCAAGCATTAGTAGGTAAGTCTGCTACCAGGAGGAATGTGATTAAAAACAAAACAAAACAAAACAGAACAAAACAAAACAAAACAAAAACAGGGTACAACACAGTATGATAGAAGCAAACAAAAGGCTGAGATGAGCTCTAACTCCACTTTATTTACTAAACCGATGATAAAACAGTGTATGAAAGACTTGCCTGGATGAATCTCATTTTTTCCAGTGTTTTCTATCACAGTGGTTGGAACTTCCATCCATCCGTCCAACCATACAATTGTCCAAAAGGAAAAATTAGGGTTTTCTCTAAGATCATCTTCTCTCTTATCCCTTATGTCCTCACCCATCACAAAACCTTGCCCACTTTTTTTTTTTTTTTTTTTGAGATGGAGTCTCATTCTGTTGCCCAGGCTGGAGTGCAGTGGTGCGATCTTGGCTCAGTGCAACCTCTGCCTCAAGGGTTCAAGCAATTCTCTTCCCTCAGCCTTCCGAATAGCTGGGACTACAGGCGTGCTCCATGACACCCAGCTAATTTTTGTATTTTTAGTAGAGACGGGGTTTCATCCTGTTGGCCAGGATTGTCTTGATCTCTTGACCTTGTGATCCACCTGCCTCAGCCTCCTAAAGTTCTGGGATTACAGGCGTGAGCCACCGTGCCCGGCCTGCCTTGCCCACTTTTACCTACTCAGTTTCTCTCCAGTCCCTCCGCTTTCTCCATAGGCACTAGCAATACCTTGGCTACACGATGACCACCAGCAGCAGCTGGGGAAACCAGCACCCTGCTAACCTCCAAGCACCTTCTCCCATCTGCATAGAATACGTCTTCCCTTTAGTTAGCTTGGGTAACCTCAGATTCTGGACCACCCCTGGGCTGATAGCAATTTCTAGTGAAATGCCTCAAGGTAGAAGTATAATCTGAATCACCTTGCAGAGAGGATTGGGTGGCTATCTGAACAAAATGTGGGTCTTATAGGAAGGATAAAGGAGAATACTTCTTGGGGAGAAGAAATCAATAGGAATGTGCCTCAGGGAAAAAATGTGTACCAGAGGAGAATGAATCGTAATGAGTCATTTGCAATATGGCATGTTTATTGTGGCTCGGGTTCCTTGGCCCTGCACAGAGCTGTCATTCACTCACTTGACAAATATTTGAGTGGCAGACTCTAGGGTCACAACAGTGAGCAAGAATGCACAGTTCCTGCCCTTATGGAGCTTAGAGTCTAATAGGGAGGGCTGACATTAACTGCAGCATCATGTAATAAGGGAAACTGCAGCAAACCCAGGTGTGATCCAAGAGCTGGGAAAATGGACTGACCACAGGAGGGAGGCAGGAAAGTCTGCCCCTGGGAAGTGTTACCTGAACTGAAATCAGGGAGGAAATTAGGCAAAGGCTCAGCATTCAGGTGGAGGTGGAAGCTGGCCCGTGAGGAGGGTGGCCTGGAGAGGTTGGAAAACACCCAGGTCCTTGGAGCTCTTGCTGAGCTGCTGAATTAGCCAGTGCTGGCTCTCACCTGACCTCTGCTCTTCTTGTTTTGCAAGGTCGTACATTTTCTTTTGTGAAAACTAGTTTGAGTTGGGGTTTGTTAGTGTTCTGAGTCCCCGTCCTGCGAGGTAGACAGGAGGCCTTGCTGTACTCTGGAGAAGCGAAAGATGGAGAAGGTTTTTAGGGCCTGGAGAAGAGGCCCTTTAAGGGAGCATTGAATAAGATGGCACTACAGCTAGACGGCCCAGATTCACTTCCTGGCTTTCTGTCTTGTCTCTGTGCCTCAGTTTTCCCATCTGAAAAATAGAATAATGATAGTGTCTGCCTGTGCCCGTAAGACCCTTCACTGTGGGAATGGCTATCTTTTTTGCCTTTTCACTCACAGCTCTGTTCCTGACTATATCCCCACTGAACCACTCATTAACGTTTAAAATGGGCATGTTTTCTCTGCAAGATTTTGCTAAAGGTATTTCCCTCCTCAAAATACCTTTGGTCCATCTCCTCCTCTTGGAATCCATCCTTCAGAAATCAGTTCAAATTCCATCACTCTGAAGCCTTCCTAAATTATCCCCAGCCTCTTTTATGGTTTGAGCCATTTTCCCCATATTTATATTTTGCTTTCTTTCTTTCTTTCTTTCTTTCTTTCTTTCTTTCTTTCTTTCTTTCTTTCTTTCTTTCTTTCTTTCTTTCCTTCTCTCTCTCTCTCTCTCTCTTTCTTTCTTTCTTCCTTCCTTCCTTCCTTCCTTCCTTTCTTTCCCTCTTTCTTTCTTTCTTTCTTTCTTTCTTTCTTTCTTTCTTTCTTTCTTTCTTTCTTTCTTTTCTTTTCTTTTCTTGAGACAGGGTCTCACTCTGCCACTCAGACTGGAGTGCAGTGGTGTAATCTCAGCTCACTGCAACATCCACTTCCGGGCCTCAAGCAATCTTCCCACCTCAGCCTGCTGAGTAGCTGGGATTACAGGTGCATGCTACCAAACCTGGCTAATTTTTATTTATTTTGTAAAGATAGGGTTTCACCATTTTGCCCAGGTTGGTCGCAAACTCCCGGGCTCAAGTGATCTGTGCACCTCAGCCCCACAAAGTGCTGGGATTAGAGGCATGAGCCACCCCGCCCAGCATATTTTGCTTTCTGGTTACATAAAATTATAAGTACACATGGTCTCCCCTTCCACTCAAATGTGAAGTTATTGAGGGCAAGCCCTATTAGCATAGCCATATTTCAAGAGTCCTGGGCGCTCAAATCTGATGCAAAATTTGCCATGCTTTTCCTGTGACGATACAATAAATTGGCTTGTTTGTGCATGGATTTACATATCATACCTGAGCAAATCTAAGATCTAAGATTTTCTGCCTCCCAACTCAGCGGGCCGTATGTTACTGCAGGCAAGACTCCTAGTTTTGTAATGAGAAAATGCACGTGGTAACATCTTGTAGGTTGCAAAGCACCACATGCATATTAAATACCTTCATCTTTACCACCACCATTATCATCATCACTGTCAGACCCGACACCACTTTCAGCATGGCCTCAGCACTCCTTTAACCTCACTTCCTTCCATCTGCCCTACACTCTCACCCCTGAGTTGTGACAGTCAGACGAAGTAAAGAACCTGAAAAAATGCTGGGTGCACGGATGCATGGATGGGTGCCTGGATGGAAGGCACGCTGGTCCTGGAGACAGACTCAACTATGTATGATGTGTTTTGTTTTCTAGCTGAGAAAATAAGCTTCCCTTGCAAGCTTATGCAAAT
Organism: Homo sapiens; assembly: GCF_000001405.40. NCBI lineage: Eukaryota > Metazoa > Chordata > Mammalia > Primates > Hominidae > Homo > Homo sapiens. The sequence goes on from NC_000010.11 coordinate 14,129,037, forward strand.
TCACATAGCAACAGTGCAGGTGTGGCCCCCCCAATACCCTATTTCCTCTTCCCTTCTCAAAATCTTCTCCAAACCCATGACTTGCCTGATGAGAATCAACCTTTCCATGAACAGTGGCTTCCATCTCAATAGCCTCTAATCATTCTGTCTTTCCCCTCCACTGTGAACGATAGTGAAGTACCTTATTACCGTATATCTAGTTAGCAATTCAAGGAACCAAGGCACAGAGACATTTTTTTTCTTTATTCATTAGAAAAACAATGAAACAAAAAAATCGCTCTGAGAGCCTCAGGGGTTGCAATCACTAATAATTTAAAACAACACAATTATGATTCATATATATATATATATATATATATATATATATATATAAAAAATATGAGCTGTAGAACATACTTAGAAACATTGATTTAGAAACGAGCTTAAGATCACAGATCACAGAGAGGGTCAATACCAGGGTAGCACCCAGGACAGAAGCCTGACTTTAGACAATGCCCTGCTAGGAAAAAAAACCTCCAGGTGGCTCATCTGCTGGGTGGGAGGCCCGCCCCTGGAAACAGAGGTATCAAGAGACCATCACTCTGGGAACAAAGGTCATTCTAACATGCCTGTCAGTGGAGTCTTGCATGGGTCGCCTTGGGTAATTAGTTCTGTGTGCTATTTTGCTGGGTTTATGTATTCCTATTCCTTCATCTTTCAGGACTCCTGGGAAATATCTGAAATATAAGACAGGAACTCTGACCTTTGGGTGGTATTAATAGCTTTAATTAACACTCAACAATGAGAAGTCAGTGGTTGATATTTGAAACTGGCAAACTTCCTTGCCTGCAAGCTGCCAGATTTTCCATCTGTGGGCACCTGGCACCTGGCTTTCCATGGCTGGAGCTGGGGCGAGATGTTCCATTCCCTCTTCCCTGTGGTGGCCCTCTTGGTTGTCTTGCTATGGTTCCAGGCTTGTTCTCACTCCCTGCCTCCCAGGCTGTGATCTGTCACTGTATTCTGGCTGCCGCAGCGCTTGCGGGCCTGCTTTGCTCTCCAGCCCAAGGTTCCCAGCCTCCTGAGTCCCTGGTGATGTTCATGGATGGAGGGAACCCACAGATACCTTCCATTCTTCTCTTTGCTTTAGCCAGATACCTTTTGCCCTCCATCAAACCAGAGACTCCTTCCTCCATGACACTGGCCACAGTAAATATTCTTTTTAAATTTTTTATTATTTTTAAAAACTAATTTGTTAATTTTTTGTACAGATGGTCTCACTCTGTTGCCCAGGCTGGAGTGCAGTGGTGTGATCATAGCTCACTGTAATCTTGATCTCCTGGGCTCAAGTGATCCTCCCACCTCCACCTCCCAAGTAGCTGGGACTGCAGGTGCATGCCACAATGTCAGGCTAATTAAAAATTTTTTATGTAGAGATGAAGTCTTGCTATGATGCCCAGGCTCCTGGCCATAAACAATCCTCGCACCCCGGCCTACCAAAGTGCTGGGATTACAGGCACGAGCCATCAGACCCAGCCCATAGTAAACATTTTTAAGTTTCTTCTTTAGGATTTGTTGGCATGTTTGGTGTGTAAAAAGCAGTCCCCGGTGATATTGGTAAGCGCAGACTGACACATGGCTGGTAGTTTCTTATTCAAATTTGAAAAACGATGTGATGATCATCGTACCTAAAAACTGTACATAAGCCGTACAAGCTAAGCATAGGCATTGCTCCCTATCTGCGTGCCTATATCGGTAAATACGAGTATATTTATTTGACATAGGGAATAAGGCGTTTACATTTATCTCAAAACTCCGTAGCCCCTGGCTCTTACTAGGCCCAAGCTGTTTGGCTTGGGATTAAGCCTCCACACAATTTAAAAATTCTCCAAAGTGAGATTCAAATTGTAGCCCAAGTCAGAGCTCAAACTTCAGTCTGAGTTTAATGCACCATGGTGGAAACTTAGTATCCTTGGTTTGCATGCCTGACACCAGGAGGAGAAAGCAAGGACTATTGTTCTTTCAGAAAAGGTTAGCAGTGTGGAATTCCCAGGTAACACCTCCATGTTCTTCTATAATTGGCCCTGTTACACCGTAAGCTCCCAGTTGCAGCATTTGTAGTAGAGAATGTAACCACACAAATCCCCAAATTATACTTTTGCTAGAGAAAAGGAAACAATGAAGCACAGAGTTCACAAATCTCTCCTCTAACGACAACACATCTAAAAGTACAAGGATGGGCAAAACCACCAGCAAGAAGAGAGGCTCAGGCGATGCAGAAGCTTCATTTGTTGAGGGAGGAACTCTAGAATGAACAGAAGATGGCAGAGTAGAAGCAAAGCCAACCTTCCGGCTGCTTTAGCTCCTTAGCCCAACTCACTGTGCCCCCCCCGGCCGCCCTGTTGTCTCTAGGTGCTGAGTCACTTTGGTTCAATACCCAGCCTCGAAGATGAAGTCCAGTTACGTGTGACTGTTCTGGAGACTGTCGGGAAAGACACAGATTCCAAACATGAACAACACAGACAGCATAACTTAGTTAAGTGCCTGTGGCTCCATGATGTGACTGCCCCAACTCCCATGACAAATGTCAGGCTTCCATGTGAGGCTTCTGATCCACTTGTCAGTTGATTAAGAGATATTTGGGCATAGACAAAAACATATTTTAAAATCTTGACTCAGGAAACAGAGGCAAACAAGATACCACGCCACGAGATGAATAAGGTCATTTTCTGTACTCTGCTGACTCAAGACGTCTGGCCCTTCCTCTCCTTCCGCTCCCGCTAGAAGCTGTCCTAGCTGGGAGCTGGACTGTTGAAATCATGCACCTCTGGCCTTTTCTTATAATCACACAAGGACCTCTTCATCCTGATCAAAACACCTGCACCTCCATCGCCCTGACCGAAGACCCCTGCTTTGTTCACAGTTACTCTTTGGTCTACAGTCATGCCGGCAATTTCTAATTTCTTATCCCTGACCAAAAGGCATAAAATTCAAACATAAGGCCAGGTGCAGTCTGTAATCCCAGCACTTCGGGAGGCCAAGACGGGCAAATTACTGGAGGTCAGGAGATCAAGACCAGCCTGGCCAACATGGTGAAACCCCATCTCCACTAAAAATACAAAAATTAGCTGGGCGTGGTGGCACTTGCTGCTGTAGTCCCAGCTACTTGGGAGGCTGAGGCAGGAGAATCGCTTGAGTCTGGGAGGAGGAGGTTGCAGTGAGCCGAGATCATGCCTCAGTACTCCAGCCTGGGTGACAGAGCTAGACTACTTCTCAAAAAACAAAAACAAACCGAAAACCAAAAATCTTAAACATCCAATCGTGGGAGCTCCCAGAGCCACAGTTTTCTCCCCAAGTTGTCTAACAACCAGAATGAGAAGTATTGAGGGAAAAAGAGGGCAGAGCAAATGTGGAGAGGGGAGGCTGCCTGGGGTCTCCTGGGAGCAGACAGCAAGCTGTATTCCCCTTTTAATGTCCACGACTGAAGAGGTTGTTATCAATCTGGCTGGCCCCTCTTTGTTCCCCACGTGTACCTGGGAAAGTGATGTGACTCTCATGATGGAAAGGGGAGGAGGAGGAGAGCAGAGACAGTAGATCTGGAGTATTCCCCACCACCTCCCATTCCTCCTCTTTGAATCCTCTCATTTGATGTTGGGAGTTTTATTTGCACATGGCAGGTGAGCAGCCCAGGGCTGTCTGGGAAGTTGAGGATCAGGACACATCATGGCCACTGTGGGGCTCCCACGCAGGCCCAGCTGCCAGAGGGCCTGCTGGTGGGAAGCTCTGCCCTCTGGGAGTCACACACGATGAATGGAGAGAAACTATTTTATCCTGCCTTAAGCATGGTATGCCCCAGGGTGATCTACTCAATGGGAGTGTATTTCAAGCAGATTCAGCAACAATATTTCCTGGTGCCATTAGAATTCTAAAGACAAGGCAGCCATCCTGGTTCTCTGTTTTACGAAGAGGTAATCCTATTTTATCCTCATGCCATCATCAGTAAGATCAGAATAAGGATAATATCAGTGAAGTAAGAGTAAGTTAGTTTTTTACCAAACTTCAGGAATATTTGATTCAAGATTTCATGGCAGAAGGAAGTGCATTTTTGATAAAAATGATTTCAATTTAGCACATGATGAGGTGAATGAAGTTGAATTAGCAGGATTAGATGACATTTTGCTAAAGAGCACTTGAGACACTGCTATTTGGGTCGTGAGGCCTTCAAGAAAATACCACTTTGTTAAAGCCTGAAGGCTTTAAATATAAAGCTGGTATCAAGTAAATAATGAAACAGTTTGCTTTTAAGCACCAAAGCGATGTTGAGAATGTATTAGGTTGGTGAAAAAGTACCAAAATAATTACTTTTACACCAACCTAATAGTCATTCTGGTGTCTGGCCATATGTTTTGAAGGCATTTGTGGGTCCCTTATGCATGACAGCACCCTCTCTAGATGCTTGGGCATCTCAACAAGAAGCAGGACTACACCCACTTGGCCACCATGGGGAGGGCTTGATGGCCATGGCTGGTGACAGTCTGAGCCTGCAGGACCTCAGAGTTCTAGCAGCTGCTGAGTCTGGGCTGCCAACACACTCATCCTTTGCTGGCTGGAGGAGGAAGGACCAAGCTCCCTTAGAGAACCATTCTGTTCCCTGTTCTCACTCCCATGTGCTATATCCTGTGTGGAGAGGGAGGAGTAATCAACCTTCACTACCCTTTTTGTCTAGAATCTGCCTGTTTCTTCTCCACAAAGACTTGGAGAACCATATCTTATGAGTCTGTATTCCCTGAGTAAAAGCCCATCATTTCGAGGACAAGGGGCCAACCTCTAACTCCACCTCTGGAATGAAAAGTTAGTCTCACCTATGATGAATTCAGATGGGAAAATAGAGTTTGCTGGGGGCATGTGGTGATGGACAGGAAGATGGGGAAATAAGGTGAAGTTAGAAGAACTTGTTTCTTGGTATCTGATTGGAGTCTATCTTGTGAAGCCTCTGAGTCTCGGCCAGGCTGGGTTCTCCTCTTTGCTTTAACTGCTAGAAAATATAGAGCCATATCTGTGATTTACCTTTTGATAATTTCTACAAGGTTTCTGGTAAATAGTCTTGTGGACTGACTTTATCTTGGGCTTCATTTTACCATTTTCTCTTTGTCTTTTTTTGTTTATTCCCATTCTGCTGTATAGCATATGTTTTGTAACATGTCTTGAAATCTTTTTGGAATGAGAATTGGAAAGAATGGATGGATGGATGGATGGATGGATGGATGGATGGATAGGTAGATAAATGGGTGAATGGGTGAATGGGTGGATAGATGTATGGCTAGATGAGTGGATGAATTGATGAATGGATGGGTAGATGGATGGATGGATAAATGGGTGAATGGGTGGATGGATGGATGGATGGGGGATAGGTGGATGAATGGATAGATATGTGGATGGATGGGAGATAAGCACATGAATGGATAGATATGTGGATATATGGGGGGATGAATTGTTGGAGGGATGGAGGGATGGGTGAAAAGATGGAGGGATTGGTGAAAAAAATGGGTGGATGGATGGGTAGGTGGGTAGATGGATGGATGGGTAGATGGATGGATAAATGAGGGATGGATGAATGGGTGAATGGGTGGATGGACGGATGAGTTGATAGATGGGGGTACAAATGAATGGATGGATGGGTGGGTCAATAGATGGGTGGATGGATGGATGGGTGGATAAGTGGATGGGTGAGTGGATGGATAGAAAGTCATAGAGACAAAGATAAATGAAGTTGGGAGGTGTGGAGACCCAAGGAGTGATTGGAAAATCATGAAACACCATTGTCTGGCTGTTGACAAGTGTGACAAAAGAAAAACAGAAGACTTACCAAAGATAAAGACTCAACCAAGGTTAAAAACACATGACCACAAACCCTGTTACAGTTGACATCAGAATAAAATGCCCTTCTCAATTACATAAAAGGGAAATTGAAGAGATGTTGAGGGACTAATTTTTTTTGAGGACTAGAGGTTGCACATGTAACCTACAATTCTATTTCCATAATTGTTTCATGAAGAAATATTTTAAAAGTAAGAAAACAAGCATTCTGTCCATCAGCAGTATTGAACTGGAAATTCTCCTTTCAGATTCACTTTTTCAAGTTTTCAGAGTGTTAAAGCAAACTTAATATGGCCTGAGAAAGAACTCCATACTTCTATATTTGAGTCCTTGTGGATGAACTGTAACCTAGCTTAATAGTCAAACAAGATTGAAAACCTAACTTAGGAGTATGTGCCTGTAACAATAGCTGAGTCTTGACCAATCCCAGCAGCCCTACTTCAACCACTCGTTGACTGCTAAGTGTCCAAACTGTGTTCAAATAAGGCAAACACCATCCTGTAACCAATCCAGCTGTTTCCATACCTTACTGCCAGTTTCTGTACATCATTTCCCTTTTCTGTCTATAAATCTTCTTCCACCATGTGGCTGCGTTGGAGTCTCTGTGAATCTGCTGTGATTCTGGGGGCTGCCTGATTCACAAATTATTCATTGCTCAATTAAACTCCTTTAAATTTAATTCAGCTGAAGTTTTTCTGTTATCAAGAGGCATAGGGGTTCACAGATGAACTCTCACAAAGACATGAGGAAGATTCAGGTTTGTGCAAGCACAGAAAAACATATATGACTATGAAGATATATCACAGATGCAAAGGGGAACACCAGATGATACTTTCTATGAAAATATTTATCAAAAACCAAATTAAACTATGATGCCTGATTCCACTTATGGAATATAAAGTGCTTTATTTTATTTTGCGGGATCTACTTCCCGCAAATAGAACATTGGACTGAATACAATGGTCATGGAAAATATAGAAATTATTCCTGGTATTAGGAGAAACTGTATATTCTAACAATCGCACAAATAAAGATGCTATATTGAAATGCATGTTCAACTTATTCTAAACATACCGTGGTTCCCCCTGACACTGAATGTTGCTTGTCACCAAGGTTGGCCCTGACTCTCTGGCTGCCATGTCTAGCCAGGCCGTTTAAGGTTTTCCTATCATCTTGTTAATTAATCCCTAGGAACCAGTAGGTTCCAAGTGCTCATAATTCGTGTTATGCATTTTACAGGAATGAGACAGTGAGAGAAACTCAGGTGCCACCACTGGGGTAAGTGAGAGGAAAATAAATCTCGGGACCCCATAATCAATAAGCCAAAGCGAAAAGTCAGGCTGTGAACTGCATCAGACAAACCTGCCTCCCAGTTTACTCCTAAATATGACAACTACAAAGATAAAAAGGCTACATACCTCCCTCGCAATTTGCCCACAAGAAAATTCCTTGTGGACCTTGAGATGTTAACCCCAAAACAGTTCTGTTGAATTTCACCCTTGAAATGTAAATGGTAGCTTATCTTCACAGGGACAGAAAGTTATCCCTCTGCTCACCTGAGACAAATACATGTCTGATGGCTTCCTCTGCCCTATTGCTTATGTAAAAATGCAGATTTACTGAGCCAGACTGAGGCATAAGTGACTATTCCTCTACCCCCCAACCCCACTCGTCTCATATGTAAACTGTGTACTCAGTGCAAGGCTGATCAAAGACCCAAAAGAATGCCATCATTTGTCTCTTATCTACCTATGACCTGGAACCTACCCCCACCCCTGCCCATCCCCACCCGCTTCCAGTTGTCTCGCCTTTCCTGGCTGAACCAATGTACATCAATGTACATCTTATACATATTGATTAATGTCTCTTGTCTTCCTTAAATGCATAAAAGCAAGCTGTACCCCGACCACCTTGGGCACATGTCATCAGGACCTCCTGAGGTTGTATCACAGCTGCGTTTTTAACCTTGACAAAATAAACCTAAATGGACTGAGACCTGTCTCAAATACTTTTGATTTCACAGGTAATTAACGCCAAATTGTGGTATACCTCCTGTGGATACACATTTTTGTCCATGTCATACTGCCAGGTAACTTTCTGATGATTCATATCACTCACCTGCTCCCCATCAATTATTGTCGTTTGCTGATTATTCCCATTCAACAAGAGCCCTGCCATGAGGCAAAGCCAACAAGAGTCCTGCTTTCCTGATCTCTGGTGATCCAGCAGACATGAGCAAATGTTCATAAGGCCTCGCCTCCACAGGAGTCTCCTCACTTCAGCTTTGCCTCCCTTCCACTGGAAAGGGATGCATATAATTTAGACCTTTATTCATTAAAAATCATCTTCCTCTGTGGGAATAACTCCCCCTTGCCCAGTGGAAGGATGCATCCTGACTCTGAAACAAGATTTGCAGTCTACACACAAGCACATAGAGCTATTTGATCTGTGCTTTTAATTCTGCCTGGCAATGTGTGTGTTTTGAAGCTAAGAGTGATAAAAATGTGCTGCATTTGACTGAAAGAAAGCTTTGAGTTGATTTGGTGTCTTCCTCTCTTTCTTCCTCTCCCATTGAGATTCCCATCCTTTGAATTTTGCCTTCTGACTTGAATGCTATCAGCACATACTGATTTCAACATCAAGTAATTGTTGGCTAATATGAGTGAAGTGATTGAAGTTGAGTAGAGAAGGTAGAGAGGCATGATGAAAATTCATGCTACGTAGCCCAGGAAAACCTGTTCTTGGTGAATGTAAACACCTCCCCCACCCCAGTTTCCTTGAGTGGATCTCTCTCTTGTTCATACCCCGCAACCATCTCTCTTCATTAGCCATCAATTGCATATATGTTTTTCCCACCTGTTAATATGCAATGGCACTCCCTGCCCTCCTTTGCTACGCACTAATTTAATTTTAATTCTAGCTAAAAGCATTTTTTTTCCTTGCCTCTCCTCTTTCCCCTTCTCTCTTTCTTTTACTTTCATGAGATGAGATTATGTAAGCCCCCAGTGCTTTTTCTCTGTGAAGCATTTTGGAGATGAGCAACCCAACATACTTTGAACAGAGCTGCTCTGCAATCACCCTGCCAATAAGCAAGTGTGTGCCTGCCCTTCACAATAAGAAGGCAGTTGTTAGATACAAAGACCACCTTGGCATCCCATTAGGTAAGCAAATGGGGCCAAAGTGCTTAGAACATCTTTACCTAAAAGGAATGGAAAATGGGTCATTGCATTTTCTACTAGTGCTGGACCTAGAATAAATCAAGAATAAACTTGTTCATTCATTCACAAACACTGATTAATCACTTTCTATGTGCCCGGCCCAGTGTCAGGTGTTGGTAACACCAAGGTGACCAAGACCTGCCTTTGCTCTCAAGGACTCACAATATGGCAGGCAGGAGGAAGCAGCTGAGTCCTACTGGGTCCAGCTGACAAAGCCTCTCTACAGCCTCTTCCTACAAAAAGATAATGATCTATTTCTAGTTATGAAGTAAAGGTTTGATGGCAATGATAGCAAAATAAATAAATTCAACCTGCTTTACTAACTTCCTAACGCGTTGGGATAATAGACCAGTAGAAAATTGGGGGCCAAAGGCCGGACGCGGTGGCTCACACCTGTAATCTCAGCACTTTGGGAGGCTGATGAGGGCAGATCATGAGGTCAAGAGATTGAGACCAGCCTGGCCAACATGGTGAAACACCATCTCTGCTAAAAATACAAAAATTAGCCAGGCCGTGGTGGTGCGCGCCTGTAATCCCAGCTACTCAGGAGGCTGAGGCAGGAGAATTGCTTGAACCCAGGAGGTGGAGGTTGCAGTGAGCCGAGATCGCACCACTGCACTCCAGCCTGGGCGACAGACAGACTCCATCTAAAAAAAAAAGAAAAAAAGAAAAAAAGAACAGAAAATTGGGGGCCAAGTAATTTTAACCCACTGCTAGCATCGGTAATATTCAGGTAGGGCAACTGCTGAGATAAGCTGTTAAAATACAGGAACATTTTTCTACTGTTTGTAGATAGCCATTGTCCTTGAGCCCTGTGAGTGTCCTGGTCCCCATAGCCTGGAATGACTGGCTACCCCTGCCCCTTCCCTGGGACCTCTGGACCTCCAAGTGATCCATCATGGCTAGGAATCTCAATGATCTTGCTCTAATGCAATGAGTAGCATTCTTTCTGAGTGGCAAGTATCTGTGTCCTATTGTTTGTTAACATTTTTTGTAATCATTCTTGTTTGTATTGTTACTACATAAAAATAGCAGAAGCAGGAAGAAATGTGCATGGGGAATGAAGCCAATTATTTTTTTGGAATTTGGCAGTCAAATGATGGTTATAACAATGGTATGATGTCAGAGATATAATGGCTATGAAATAAGAAGTATCTTATGAATATAACTTAGTTTACAATTTCTGTATTTGAGTCAACTGTGTCATTCCACTTTTTAAATGGTCCGTGCTAAAGGTTGCTGAAGTCATAAGCTAAGCAACCTTATGTCCTTATGTCCTTATCTATATTGAACATAGAAGTTAATAAATCCTATCAAAAACATATTTCTTTTTTTATTATTTATTTTTTTTAATTTTTTTGAGACAGGGTCTCACTCTGTCACCAAGGCTGGAATACTGTGGCTCAACCATGGCTCTCTACAACCTTGACTTCCTGGGCTCAGGCAATCCTCCTACTTCAGCCTCCCAAGTAGCTGGGACCACAAGTGCATACCACCACACTGGGCTAATTTTTTTGTGATTTGTAGAGATGGGGTCTTGCCATGTTGCCTGGGCTAGTCTGGAATGCCTGGGCTCAAGCAATCCTCCCACTTCAGCCTCTCAGACTGTTAAGATTACAGACATGAGTGACAGAACCTGGCCAAATATGTTTCCTATAAGACATATTGTTACTCTTGGGCTTCCGGGACAGCAGATTTGGTTCAATTATCTTTCTAGAAACCCCTCTATGTTAATCTCTATGAATTTTCTACATATAATTTTTTTCTTTACCTTTGTGTATATCCACACACTACTAGACAATTTAGAAACACTATAACTAGAAGATGGGCTTTCACAAATGCATTGTGTATTTTCTTTATAATTCACATTAAATCATATACACGTAAATTTTGAAGGCTACCTAAATTCAAGTCTCTAGGATAGCAGGAGGAAAATGCATTTTATTGTACATATTTTATTTTATTTTATTTTGAGATGGAATCTCACTCTGTTACCCAGGCTGGAGTGCACTGGCATGATCTCGGCTCACTGCAACCTCTCCCTCCCAGGTTCAAGCGATTCTCCCACCTCAGCCTCCTGAGTCGCTGGGACTACAGGCGCACACCACCACACCTGGCTAATCTTCGTATTTTTTAGCAGAGATGGGGTTTCACCATGTTGACCAGGCTGGTCTTGAACTCCTGACCTCAAGTGATCCACCTGCCTTGGCCTCCCAAAGTGGTGGGATCACAGATGTGAGCCACCCCCCTTGGCCGGAAAATGCGTTTTAAACAAGGATTTCAGTACCTGCCATATGTCAGGAAATGTCTCGAACGTTTTGTACACATTATTGAATACTCACTTCCAACCCGTTGAGATGGTGTTATTTTCCCTCATATCATTTGGGAGGGCTTTGAAGATGTGAGATGTTAAATGGTACACGACCTTTCCACTTAACCTCTGAGGCCGGGCATCAGCCCCTTCTCCTTGAAACTCTTCCCCCATTTCCTTGGTATCATGCCTGGTTCTTCTCCACTCAATCATTCATGTGCATTCTGAAATGTTGGTGGCTCCAAAGTTTTCTCCTTAGACCTATTCTCTTTATGGATCCATCTTCCCTCTATATGCTTGTAATTCAAAATCTATGGGAATGGAGAGGAATATCCTTCACATGTAGGTATATATATATATCTCACACCTTTGCTCCACTCAACATTTTCAAATCCCCCATTTGTTACAGAAAAGGTCTGAACTTTTCAGGAAACTAGGGAGTTTGTCACCACCTCTCCCAAATAAAGCAGGGGCTCAGGGAGACTGAAGTCTGGCTTGAGAGCCTGGATTAGGCAAAGTGGCAGGGACCGGCCAGCAATTGTAGAAGGACAGCAGAGATTCAGCCACAGGGAAGTGGCAGTCCAACCCTAGGGACACCACCCAGGGAGCTCAGCTGGGAGGTGGAGCACAGGCCTGGTAAGAGGACAGATGCCCAGGAGAGGGAAGGTTTCAAGGAGAAGCAGGAGATGGAGAATGGACAAGTTCATCAGCGTCAGAGGCAGTAGCAATCTGGTGCTTTATCGGGTACCTGTAGCCTTGGAAATGGGTAGAGAAAGGGCCTTCGAAGTCTCCACTCAGAAGACACAAAGCAAGGCACAAATATCTACAGGGCACCCTGGATGTGCCCACAGGATCCAAGTCGCTGAGGTATTGCCAAAATCTCACAATAGGCATTTTTATCATCAATTTTACAGGTCAGAAAATGAGGCTCTAACAGCAGGGCACACAACCCCTTCACCATCTGCCGGATGCTATCCATGCACTCTCACCTCCTGTGATTCCTTGCCCATTGTATGATTTTATATAGGATGTATGTGACATCATGCAATGTCATGAGACATCATGAAACATCATGTGACACTCTCGCCCCAGGGGACACATCCTGAAACACACTGAGCACGTACATCACATTGCTCCACCTTCTGCCCCTAACCCCTTCTCTACCCCTGCCATACCCCCTTCACCTAGTGAGATCCTATTTCTCCTTTAAGCGACATCTCAGAGGCCTTTTCCCCTGTCCTTCGATGATCACTCCAGCCTCACCCACTTCTCACTTGGGGTGAAATTAACTGCATGTTTCCTTGCACTGCACCTGGTGGTTGCTTCCACTTTCTTCTCTCCAGCACTTCTCACCATGCGGTCTTTCTGATTTAGAGTTAGAGGTGTACGTGTGCACATGTGTGTGTGTGCCTGCTTGTGTCTGTGCATGTGTGTTTCACCCACAACATTACAGCTGCTTGTATCTTTGGCTCCTCTGATGCCTGGCGTAGTGACTGAATTCAATAAAGGTCGATAGCCTAAAAAATCTCGTTTCCCTTTAGGCATCCGAAAATGTGTATTTGCTCTAACAGGCTATGTTGCCACAAAGAAAGATTCATGAGAAAGGCAGGGTTTGAGTGACTGGTTTTGATTAGGATCAATAATATATGACAAAACTCTAATAAAGATGGAGACATTATAAGAAATAGAAAAACATTTTTATTTTAAAAAAAAAGCTGCTACAAACAAAAAAGTTTTTTTTTTGTTGTTTTGTTTTTGCTAGAAAGTCCCAGCTTTCTTAATTCTCTGAATATGCTTCTTCTCTGTCATGCAATCGTGGTTATTCAATACATGTGCATCATTTCTATACATGTTCTGGTGACAGTCTCCAAGTTGTTGAGCACAGGTTTTCTAAGTAAAGCGCACTGTTCTGCTATTAAGGGAAACTGTCAGGCAATTTAAGCAGAAAATTTGATCTAGTAAAATGCTGACCCTTCCAAAGCTGTAATCTCATGGTGACTGCTTCTTAAAGTCTGACTACTGTCAAAAATTCATCATATGCCCTAAGAGATTTAAGAGAAACAGAAGCACTGAGCTACGCTTGCATCCTGAATTGGAAATCTGGCTCTAAGACATGGATTTGAAAAGTTAGTGTACAATAAGCAACTCAAAGCTAACGTTTGAATCACTATTACCATCCAGGACTTTGTAACATGGAAGAGACCTTGAAAAATTATATAATCCAATGCAGTCATTTATAGATGAGGGAAACTGAGTCCAGATGGGTAAAGAGAAGTACTTAAAGCCAGATAGTATTTCAATGGGTAGAATGAAAACGCAAGCTTTTTAGAATATCTGAACTTGGATCTTCCCACTACATTTGGCTGCCTACATTTGTTCACATACTAAAAATGGAATCCAATTAAAAAATGGGCAAAGGACTTGAATAGACATTTCTCCAAAGAAGAAATATGAATGGCCAATAAATACATGGAAAGATGCTCAACATCACTAATCATTAGGAAAATACAAATCAAAACAACAGTGAGATGCCACCTCACCTCATTAGGATGGCTATGATAAAAAAAATAACAAGTGTTGGCAGGGATGTGGAGAAGTTGGAATCCTTGTACACTGTTGGTGGAATGCAACATGGTGCAGCTGCTGTGGAAAACAGTATGGTGGTTTCTCAAAAAAATAAAGAGAATTATATGATTCAGCAATTCCACTTCCGGGCATGAGCCAAAAGAACTGAAAGCAAGGACTCGAAGAGATAGTTGTACGTCCATCATTGCAGCATTATTTGCAATAAACAAGAATTGGAAGCAGTCCAAGTATCCACCAACAGATGAACGAATAAACAAAACATGGTATATACATACAATTAAATATCATCTAGCCTTAACAAGGAAGGAAATCCTGAGACAGGCTACACATGGGTGAAACTTGGGGACATCATGCTAAGTGAAATAAGCTGGTCACAAAGGGACAAATACTATATGATTCCTCTTAAATAAGTTTACTGTTATAGTTACATTCATAGACACAGCAAGTTGAATGGTGGTTGGGGAGATGGAATTGGGAATTCTTATTTAATAGGGACAGAGTTTCAGTTTTGCTAAATGGATGGATGGGGTGATAGCAGCGCAACAATGCGAATGTATTTAATGCCACTGAATTATGCACTTAAGATGGTTACAATAGTTTTTTGTTGTTGTTGTTGTTGTTGTTTCTGAGACAAGAGTCTTGTTCTGTCGCCCAGGGTGGAGTGCAATGGTGCGATCTGAGCTCATTGCAACCTCCACCTCGCTGGTTCAGGCAATTCTCCTGCCTCAGCCTCCCCAGTATCTGGGATTACAGGTACCCACCATCATGCCTGGCTAACTTTTGTATGTTTGTAGAGATGGGGTTTCGTTGACCAGGCTGGTCTTGAACTTCTGACCTCAGGTGATCTGTGTGCCTCAGCCTCCCAAAGTGCTGAGATTACAGGTATAAGCCACCATGCCTGACCAATGGTAAATTTTATGTTAAATATATTTTGTCACAATTAAAATTTTTTTACATTGAAAAATGGAGCAAAATGTTGAATATATGCAACTTTTCCACTGAGCTAGTACAAAGGGGATGGGAGGTTTTAAGAGTTAGAATAAAATGCTCAAACCAAGGAGACGCTAACATGTGGGGCAGTGCACATGACGGGAAGGAATGCTGTCTACACGCTCCTGAGGATGGGTCGGTGTCCTCCAGATTCCTCCCCACCTGTGGGTTGACCTTCAAAACTTTTTCCTTGAAGTTTCATTTTTCTTTTTGACAGGAGGTTGTGTTAAAATGCAAATCAGTGTCACTCTTGGGAGCTGCAGCAGTCACATTACCTGAGCCTTTAGGAACCCCTTGGA
Organism: Homo sapiens; assembly: GCF_000001405.40. Classification (NCBI taxonomy): domain Eukaryota; kingdom Metazoa; phylum Chordata; class Mammalia; order Primates; family Hominidae; genus Homo; species Homo sapiens. The sequence continues at coordinate 14,144,294 of NC_000010.11, forward strand.
GAACTGGTTCTGAGGCAAGAAAGAGGAGAGGGGAGTGGAGGAGAGAGGAGGGGACCGAAAAAGGAATCTACGCATCCGAAGAATTCTTGCTTGTTTCTCTCACTCCTGTTTGCTGCTGTTGTTTAAATCTACAGTGTGGTCAGGTGAATCTTTCAAGCAGTGCAAGTAATTATCTTTGCTCTGCATCGTATGCAGGTTTCATTATACAAACTGAAAATTGGAAAACCCTGATGAGTTTCTGCTTGAAACCACCTCACTGACAATAGGGTGTCTTAGCAGCCCTTTTCTACCTACTGTCTGTGGCACTATTCTATGTGTGATCATTGTCTCAGCACAATTTGTGTCACTCAGAAGGGTGATCTCATGCTGGGGTGCCATCTGGGAGTTTGTTCTGGTAGAGATGGGATAGTCGTCCAGGAGCTGGCAAGAGACACGGTGATTTCCCAAGCCTTGGGCCAAATAGGGAGTAGCTTTGGAAGCGGAAACACCTAGATGCCTTCCTATGATGCTTGGTTCTGGGGCAGGTGATGAAGAGCAGCAGAGGAGAGGGTGAAACCGCAGAGAAGGACTTGGGGTCAAGAGGAGTTTTGGAGGCAGCAAGGATTGGATTTAGGCAAAGACGTGGAAAGAAACTCTCAGCTGAGAGGTCCTTAGAAACCATCTACTGCTGCTTCTTCATTTGACTGATGCCTGGTGGAACTGTGGGTGGTTGATTAGATTGTGGTGGGAGCAAAAATAAAGGAAGCCAAAGTCATTTCAAGGTTTTCTGGGTGACTTGGAGAATGGCATTACCATGAGCTTACATAGAAACAGAATGGCAGAACAAACACAGGCAGGTGAGGACACATGCGGAGGCATCAATAATACCCACAAGGAAGGTGACAGCACACAGCAGAATCGCTAAGTAAGCAAGAAAGCCCCAGGAACCTCGAATTCTATTCCTAACTCTGCTGCTGATTTACTGAATCACTTTGGAAGAGTCACTTAATTAACCTCCCCCAGATCAAACTCATCTTTCTCTTCTCCATATCAAGATAATGTATACAATTAACTAATACAGATTTTTAAAACGAGTTCTATTTATAGGTCATTAAGAGACTCAGTGTCTCAGAACCACGTCTGAGCGCTGCTCTTTAAGAGGGCTGTGGACAATGACCAGTGACCGCATATGTCCAGAAGATAGACCCAGGCTGGGGGTGAATGGGCGATAATCACACATCTATTGTTACGGTGCCAGGCTCTGTTTTACATACACAAATGATTTAAAAATCATGACAAGGTGATTTCGCAGATATTATTACTAGTTTAGTATAACTAGTTTAGTAATACTATCTGCAAAAATTATATTGACTGTTACTGGATATAGAAACCGAGGCACAGAGAGGTTAAGCAACATGTCCTGTGTCACACAACTGATGGCTGGCAGAATTAGGATTTGAACTTGTGCTGCCTAGACCCAGAAGACAGGATCTTAATTTCTCACTATGCTGCCTGAGAGAGAGAGAAACTGACCAAAAACACTGGGGGCATGTTCACCTTCTTTATAAGCAAGGATGTAAATCTCTGATCCAGGGTTGCAACCATTTCCATTTAGAGTAACGTGCTTATTTTGTTCTGAAATGATGATAATTAGGACCAGCGGATCACAGGCACTTGAAGGCAGATTCCAGATGAAGCTTAAAACATTTTCCTAACAATATCACCTAGAAATGAAAGAATCATTGCAAACGGCTTAGTGGTTAAAAGCTCTGCCCTTCGCTGGCTGTGTGACCTTGAAGAAATTACTTAACATCTCTGTGGCTCAATTTCCTCATCTCTTAATGAGGAGAGTAAAAGGACTCTTAGAGTCATTGTAAGGATTAAGAAAGTTGATACATGGGAAATACTTAAAAGGTGGCTCATAGTAAGTTACAACAAACATCTGCTCCTGTCTTCGTCATCATTTCTCTACTGCACTGAATGTGGCAGCTAGATTATGTGACAGGAATGTTACAGGGAAAAAGTGATTCCTACAAGACGTGGAAAATAGCCAGGATGTCCTTTTTCTCCTAACAGTTGTGTGAGTTCAGAAACATTAAAATAGGATATGATGTGATATAGTCTGATACAATATAATTCAACACAACACAACACAACACAACATGACTTAATGCACTACACAGCAAAATAATATCTAGCATTTTGATCCCCTCTCTGTTCATCTTACAACTGTTGATCCCCATCCTGGCTATTATCGATAACCAACACGTGAAGGGAAAACTGATGCCTATTAGAAGAGACATCTGATGCCTATAGAATCATGAATCTAGAGATTTGCCCTCCCAGAACTGCCTGACTTTTTACTTTCAGAATCCTTACTTATGACACTAATGACTCAACACGGCACTAAGTTCCATGGAATCTAGTTCTCAGCTCTTGCTCCACCTGTGCCAGACTTTCTCCAAGGCTAGCTGTCAGCTTGGGGGACAGGGACAACCATGAATTAAGTACCTTTGTCTCACCAAGAGCACACAGCACTCACCAGGCACATGAGTCAACTGATGGACTGAAAATAAATATGCAGTTCTGCACGTAATCAGTTGAGGCAAATGACAGAGCAATAACTAAATGTAATGCTTAATTACAGCAAATATCATCATCTATTTGCTTCATTTCCTCCTCACATTTGCAATTTTCTATTTTTGTTTTAATAAATGTAGATATGCATGTCTTTAAGTTGCTTCAACTCCTTTTTGGATGCAAGGTATAAATTAGAAATAAACAAACAAATGCCAGACAGGTAGGTTCATTGAAAGATGGCCTGGATCTTGCAGATTTGGTAGCCTAGGGCATATTATCTTTTCGAAAAGGAACACATTTTCCTTTTCTTATGCCAACCTGCAGTAGAAGGAAAGCTGATGAGTCAGATCAGGTGAGAGTCTAAAGGTCAGGGAGGGGGTCAGACAGTTCAGAGCCAACCCTGATGGTCATTATATTCCTAAGAGTGGGAGAGTTGCCTCCAGATGCTGGGGCCAAATGGTATCTGCAGGCCAGAGATACTGGTAATCAGTGGTCCCTGACCATTTTGGCATCAGGGACTGGTTTTGTGGAAGATACTTTTTCCGTGGACTGGGGAGAGGGGAATGGTTTCAGGATGATTCAAGCACATTACCTTTCTTGTGGGCTTTATTTGTATTATTATAATATGTAATGAAATAATTATACAACTCGCCATAATGTAGAATCAGTGTGAGCTCTGAGCTTGTTTTCCTGCAACTAGATTGTCTTATCTGGGGGTGATGGGAAACAGTGGTGGTTCATAAGGCATTAGATTCTCATAAGGAACGTGCGACCTAGATCCCTGGCATGTGCAGTTCACAACAGGGTCTGCACTCTTATGAGAATCGAATGCCGCTGCTGATCTGACAGGAGGTGGAGCTCAGGTGGTAATGTTCCCTTGCCCGCCACTCACCTCCTGCTGTGTGGCCTGTTTCCTAACAGGCCACGGACTGGTACTGGTCCACAGCCCAGGGGTTAGGGACCCCTGCTGTAGAGTGCTGTTGGGTCAGTGGGCCCTGGTACCACACACTGCCTAGATTCAAATCACAGATCTTCCACTTACTATGTGATCTTGGGACAGTCACTTAATGTTTCTGTGCCTCTATTTCCTTGTCTATAAAGGAGTAGATTATATAAACAATTCCTACCTCAAGGTGTTCTAGGATAATTCAATTCCAGTAATATTCTTAGATCTCTGTCTGGGACGATAAACTCAGTAATATTGGCCGTTCTCATTCCCTTAAGAGGAAAACCCTCCATTAATGTGTATTGTGCAATTTGTACAATGTCACGAGGTGTTGGAGAAAATTCAGACCCACCACCAAGCATTTGATGTGCATCCACCCCCTCTTACTATTCTGGAGTCCACAAGAGGTAGTCTGATGTTGAAAGGAAATAAAAGTGTTTTAATTATCCCCCTTTAGTTTCCAGGTTAATGAGCTCTATGGAGTTTATATGTCGTGACTGTTTTAATCTTTTTTATAGAAACTATCATTGCATCTTTCAACATGGTTGACTAAAACAGGGCCACCATCATCTCAACCAGGAACTTGCCTTTGCAAACAGTGAATGAACAGAGAAGACATTCTCAAAGGGATTAAGAATCAAGAGAAAAACCCTTTTGGTTGTTGTTTAAGAAACAATGAGAATGGCCGGGTGCGCTGGCTCACGCCTGTAATCCCAGCACTTTGGGAGGCTGAGGTGGGTGGACCACAAGGTCAGGAGTTCGAGACCAGCCTGGCCAACATGGTGAAACCCTGTTTCTACTAAAAATACAAAAAATTAGCCAGGCATGGTGGCATGTGCCTGTAATCCCAGCTACTCAGGAGGCTGAGCAGGAGAATCCCTTGAACCCAGGAGGTGGAGGTTGCAGTAAGCCGAGATTGCGCCACTGCACTCCAGCCTAGGTGACAGAGCGAGACTCTGTCTCAAAAAAAAAAAAAAGAAAAGAAACAATGAGAATAATCTCCTCCACCCTGTTTCCAGGAGGACTTACACACCTAGAAACATTTAGCTTTAAGATCTTGGGCAAGACCGTCTAGTGTTAATGTGATTTGTAGGATATTAGGGGTTTACGCTAGGATTTTACTTCCTGCATACATACCCAGACAAATATGGATGCTCACACACTTGTAATTAGAAATGAGCTATAATATGCACATCACTGAAAACAAACCTAATTTACACACCAGAGCACAGAAATAACAAAATATTGATAAGGATGTTTCTAGGAACCCATAAACATCATGAATGAGCCAGATCCAAGTTCTTAAAACTTTCTGGGCTGTACCTATTTACAGTCCAAATACATACTTTCATAGACCATTGTTTTTATAGAAAACCCATGCTATGTAAGTATTTCCATGAAAAATAAGTTTTAAGATTCATCAGGCAACCATATGTCTCCTTTAATATGCCTAATATTTAAATATTAGTTATAATGGAGACACAGAAATACGTAGTAAGATTGATGAAAACGTCTTTTAAATACTCCCTGCTCATCTTTTATTTATGTATTTATTTTTAGAGACAGGGTCCCACCTTGTCACCCAGGCTGGAGTGCAGTGGCATGATCATAGCTCACTGTGGTCTTAAACTCCTGGGCTCAAGTGATCCACCTGCCTCAGCCTCCAAAGTAGCTGGAACTAGAGGTATTGCCACCATGCCTGGGTAGTTTTTGTATTTTTTGTAGAGATGGGGTCCCACTCTGTCATCCAGGCTGGAGTACAGTGGTGCCATCATAGCTCACTGCAGCCTGGAACTCCTGGGTTCAAGTGATCCTCCTGCCTCAGCCTCCCAAAGCACTGGAATTACAGACATGAGCCGCCACACCTGGCAACTGCTTGTCATTTTAAACACATTGTTGATTCATCAGTCCATCAACACCATATTTCCCACCCTCAGGAAAGGTGGGAGATGGGCTGTGACTATCAGAGATGTATATGGGCAGTTGAGTGAGTGTGCTTCATGTCCCGAGGTGGCACACCTCATCCCGGCCAGCTCTCCTTCCTGTAGGTCCTGTTTTAGTCCATTCTCACGTTGCTATAAAGAGCTACCTGAGTTTGGGTAATTTACAAAGAAAAGAGGTTTAATTGATTCACAGTTCCACAGGCTGTACAGGAGACATGGCTGGGGAGGCCTCAGGAAGCTTATAATCATGGTGGAAGGTGAAGGGGGAGCAAGCACATCTTCACACAGTGGCAGGAGAGAGTGTGAAGAAGGAAATGCTACGTACTTTTAAACAACCAGATCTCATGAAAACTCTCTCACTCTCATGAGAACAGAAAGGGGAAATCCATCCCCATGATCCAATCACCTCCCACCAGGTCCCTCCCTCAACACTGGGGATTACAATTCAGTATGAGATTTGGGTGGGGACACAGAGGCAAACCATATCAGGTCCTAGTCTACAGTATTGATCCTAAAAGGAAGGAGACAAAAGAGCTTGGACAGAGAAGTGCATATTTCATATGTGGACTCCATTGGTAAAACAAATCAGAGCCTGTGAACTGCTGATAAGTAGTATCGGCTTCATTCTCAGAGGATAATTAGATCGTTATTTCCATTTATAATGCAAAGCTGAAATAGAGATAATGTTATTATTTCATCTGTAAATTGCTTAATTTTTTGCATATTAATTGGGCTGAACTGTTCTAGATTACATTCCTGTCCAGCCAATGGATCTGCTTGTACTTCTTCTACCCTCTCCCAGCCTCCCCCAATCCTGCCTCTATCTCATCAGCAGTTCCTAAAGATTTCACTCAGAATGGAGTATTTTCTTTATTAATTAAAGACCTAGAGGCTCTGCCAGTGATTTATTTTTTCGTTTCTCTGTGCATATTCACTTTCATATTTCTCCCTTCTCTCACCCTTCAGAGAGCCTGCTGCACTCAATCCCAGGAGGTTTCCTAGGAAACACGCTTACAGCCAGGAACCCCAAACCACACATTTCCATTTTCCTCCCGCTCCTCTCCCAATGAGCATTAGCTAATGAAACAAGGTGAAAACACATCAGCGCTTTTAGAAATTACTCCACCAAGGCAGGTTATCAATTTCATATTCATTCATGGAAAGATGAAGGAATTTGCAGACTCTGGGCTTTTTCTGGAGAAATCTCAGTTTAGCATCATATCTAATAACCTAAGCATTGGATTTGTCACACGCCTAGGAATTTTACATGTGCTCAGAGTCTAAGATTGAGGTTATTAAAATTCCTTGACTTCTTGATTCCAAGCTCCAAAAGGAAGTTGCAGTAGTTCCTATTTACTGATCCCTCCTGAGTCTGGTAGGGTATCTGTCCACTGCAGGGACAGCAACCCCACTTCTGGCTATCTACCCAAAGGAAAATAAACCATTATATCAGAAAGTCACATGCACTCATATGTTCATCGCAACAGTGGTTACAATGGCAAAGTCATGTAAGCAACCTAAGGGTCCACCAATGGCTGATTCGATAAGGAAAATGTGGTACATGTACACCATGAAATACTATGCAGACATGAAAAAATGAAATCATGTTCTTTGCAGCAACACTGATGGAGCTGGAGGCCATTATCTTAAGTGAACTAACAGGAAGCACAAAAGCATGTTCTCACTTTTAAGTGGGAGCTAAATAAAGGGTACATATGAACAAAAAGATGAAAATAGATTCTAGTGATTCCTAAGGGACCAGGACAGGAGAGGAGAGGGTTAAAAAATTACCTACTAGGTGCAATGTCTAATATTTGAGTGATGGGTACACTGGGAGTCCAATCCCCCCTTTACACATGTAATACCCATGTGATAAGCAAGGACATGTACCCTCTAAATAAAAAATAAAATTCATATATATATATGAAAAAACAGAACCTTCTGCGATGAGAGCAGCCCTTCCTTCCTGCAGCCCTTTCTGCCTTCCTCCCTCCCTCCCTTCCCCAGGGAACATTTCTTGGAAATGCTGTAGACTAAGTTTTGGAGATGTTTAACTAATTTATTTTCTCCCTTTTTCTCTCCTTTGTTTTTAAAGGGCAGCAGGCCCCTGTTCCCTTCACTTAAGATGAGTTCCCACTTCAGCCCAAAGGCAGAAACTGCTTGCAGGACACTTTCTACCCCAGGTTCTAGTTTCTGAGAACCAAGCTCATTCAAAAGATGTTGCCAGGCTTCCTGGGGGAGAAGACAGAGAGGGGAGGGGACGTCACACAGCATGAAGGGAGGGTGATGTAATGGGTTCGTGTCAGTCTCAATACACTACAGTTTGCTGGAAAATAAATAAATACATAGCCAAAGCAGGATATGTTTGTGTAGTGCTTTTTTTTTTTTTTTTTTTTTTTTTTTTGAGACATAGTCTCGCTCTGTCGCCCAGGCTGGAGTGCAGTGGCATGATCTTGGTTCACTGCAAGCTCCACCTCCTGGGTTCATGCCATTCTCCTGCCTCAGCCTCCCGAGTAGCTGGGACTACAGACACCCGCCACCACACTTGGCTAACTTTTTTGTATTTTTAGTACAGACGGGGTTTCACCTTGTTAGCCAGAATGGTCTCGATCTCCCGACAACGTAATCCGCCCACCTCAGCCTCCCAAAGTGCTGGGATTACAGGCGTGAGCCACCGCACTGGCCATGTTTGTGTAGTTCTATTGGAAAAGTCTAAAGACAGTTACTCCATAAGTAGAAAATTAAAATTAAATATCTGACCAGCATGTTGGTTGCATTGACCAAGAGGACAATGGGGAACCAATAATGTCCTCATTCTGACCTCCATTGTGAAGCCTGTGCATTAAGAATAGAGAGAAGCCGGGCGCGGTGGCTCGCTTGAGGCCGGGAGTTCAAAACAAGCCTGGGCAACATAGCGAGACCCTGTCTCTACAAACAAAATTTTTAAAATTAGCTGGGCATGGTGGTATGTGTCTTTAGTCCCACCTACTCAGGAGGCTGAGGAGGGAGGATCGCTTGAGCCTAGGAGGTTGAGGCTGCTGTGAGCTATGATTGCACCACTGCACTCCAGCCTAAATGACAGAGCAACACCTTGCCTCTGAGAAGAAAAAAAAAATGCAGAGAAGAGAGACTCCTTCAGCTGGGAAGAGGGGGAACCCAGGCATCCTAGAGCAGTAGAAATCTTTACCTTAGTCTCTGGCAGAGCCCCAGGAAGGAGGCAAGATCCCAGGCGGCTCCTGGGAATGCTGGATCCTGAGCACTAGTGCCCCAGGCCTCGGCAGAGACTCGTGGACTCCACACAAGGCAGGGAAGCTGAGAGCTGCCCTACTGCCCTACTGTGGTCTTTCCAATGAGCTGTCAGCAGGGACAACAATGTATTGCAGTGCAGAGGGCTTTTCCCATTTTCCATGAAAATGAAGAGTGACAAGATGGAAATCCCTGCTCATCCAGAGAAGTGAGGGCTTAGATTCAAACGAATTCAATTTAATAGAATAAAGACATTGACATTCTTGCACACCCAGGTTTGCAGATATATTAAGGTTCACACTTGCTCCACATGGATGCTAACTTTTGTGTTGCCTTCTGCATGATTTTTCTGATGAAGCCAGGATACAGGGATGGTCTACACCAAATGATGCGTGTACTCCCCTTCTGTACTCACAGCAGACATTATTAATCAATATTTCATTCTTTTCTGACTACACATGCACAGATGGAGCCACAGGAACCTCCACACAGGGCTCCAGGCAACCGCAGCAACCAATCAGAACTGGTATAAAATTGGAATAATTTGCCTTTCCTGCTGTAAGATGAGGCTACACCAGTGTGTAGAGTATGGAGTCATATACAGACGGTCACTCCTAGCATGAGTTATCTGAGAGGAGTGAAGGGTCAGGCGAAAAGGAAACCGAGCTTAGGAGGCTTGTCTCCATGCGCCTGCTCCCCTCCCGTCTCCAGCTCTGCTCTGCATCACAGGAAGTGCATTCCCTAGGTTCTCTGGCCAATCGCCTTTGGCACTGGGAAGCACTGGCAGAAAGTCGGAGGGCAGAATAAGACAGAACCTTCTCTTTCCTTCTCATAGCACGGCCTCCCCTCCCAGACATTATTAATCAATCAATCGTTCTTTCCTAACTACTCAGGCACCGATGGAGCAGTCCCTGCTGTAATTCTCACTCCTGGCAGATGGCTCCGCCTCTGCCCTCCAGTAACCTCCTTTCCTGGCTGTGTCCCAACGGCCATGACGGGGTCGCGGCTTCCTGCTGTCACCTCGCCATCCCCTGCTTGGCCTCTTAGCTCTTCCAGCGCCTGAGGGACCCATTCCCTGTCTTAAACCATCTGTGTTTGAAATACTTGACTGGAAAGTATCTGGCAGTGACGCCCGATAGGTTAGGCAGGGAGGTTCTGTCTTTCTCTAGACTTCAAGGTCTAGGGTATGGATTTTGAAAACCCGCATCGGCTTTGAGGGAGCTTCAGGGTGCTGAAGACCAAGGAAGGGGGCAAATGGTAGACCAGATGAGGAGCCAAAGCTGAAGACGAGTGAATTACCCCCTTGTAATCAAGATTAGCATTGCAAATCTGTCTGTTTCCATTTTTTGATATCATTGAGATTTTAGAAAGCCTTATTTAAATGCTCCAGCTGGGTCTCAGCTATATGGAGAGGTTTGATTTCACTTTAAATGTATGATGTATGGATCCCTTTCAAAAAACAACCTACTTCTAGACCCCCAGTGCTGGCTTAACTTATTTTTATCTTAACTTTAGTTCCTTAAATATGTCTAAAACAATTAAAAATACAATCTCCTCATGCTGAAGAGTTCTTACGTAACTAGAAAGTCAAACAAAATTTTAAATTAAATCCAAAAATACATAAAATTAACAACGTTCAAATTTATTGCTTTACCCTGATATTGATATTTTTTGGCTGAAATGAAATTGCAGTTTTTAGCATGAATATGTTTCTGACTCCTCTTCTGTGGGTTCTTTTGAGATTGGCATGTCTATATTGCCCCGTGCTGGGTTAGGAGTCAATTCTCCTATTGCTTTTTTCCTACCCAACCTTCTGCAAACCTTGAACAATACAGCGAGAGGCCCTTAGCTTACATTTGGCAGAACCACATCATTTGTTACTAAGTAAATCTCTAGTCTTTCTTTGTTGGTCTGAAAGAAATATGGCAGGCAAAACAATCCTGGGCCAGTACTCAACTATGAAGTGGTCATCAGGTGGTCCCCAATCCTCTTATACTCTTTGTGTCTTTAAGATTATTGTGGACTGCATGTGGTGGCTCACACTTGTCATCCCAGCACTTTGGGGAGGCCAAAGCAAGAGGACTGCAAGCCAGGAATTTGAGACCAGCCTGGGCAACCCAGTGAGATCTCATCTCTACAAACATATTTTTTAAAAAACGTAGTCAGGTGTGGTGGCACATGTTTATCGTCCCAGCTACTCGGGAGGCTGAGGCAGGAGGATCACTTGAGCCCAGGAGTTGGAGGCTACAGTGAGCTATGATGGTGCTACTGCACTCTGGCCTGGGAGACAGAGCAAGACCCTATCTCTAAATAAATACATGAATAGATTCTTGTGTTGAAAATATAAAATAGAAATTCTTATGGAGGCCCTCTGAGAGACAGTACTGGTAAGAGTCACCTTGATCCCAGCCCAGCACTGGGGGCAATAAATAATGAGTAATCCCCAGGGAAGCCGGGCCTCAAAAGAAAGGAATTAAAACTCCAGGGCTTAGCGTCTGTCCCTTCCCATGTGGCGATTCTCCTTCCTCAATAGCCATAAAGGATGTGGGCTTGTTTTCAGTCACAGAGTCTAGCAGGTTTCCTTACATTGTTATGAGTTTTATGTACAGAAAAATAAAATCACATCTCCTCTGATCAGGTTATATGGATTAATGCCGCATACAATGCAATGCCACTGGAGAGGGCTCTGAGATATTGGGATAATAAAATTGAAAGTTAGAAAATTTAAAAAATGAAAGTAAATGTTAGGAAAGAGTGAGAGTGGTTGGAGGTTTGGAGGAAAGCCATCAAGTAATCTCTCTTTACTCGCATTTTCAGAACGCAATAAAACAAGCATAATAAGTGTGCCACATGTAGATAGAAACACATTCTTTCTTTTTTGACATCATCCTTAATTATACATAGATACAAATGCTACATAACACAGTGAAGATATAGGTGCCATTTAGAGAAATAGAACATATTTTAATGGTCACCATCTTTGGAGAGCAATATAGTAAATGTTAGGACACCTGTACCTCACAGCCCAGCAATTTCCCTCCCAGGTGCAGACACTGGGAAACTTTTTCTCATGAGCTCAAGGAGATGTATATATAAATGGTCATAGCAGTATTGTTTGTAATGGTTAAAAAAATGGGAAATGTCCACTCACAAGACAACGGATCATGACTTGCGGTATATTCACACAATGTTGTACTCAATCAATTCATTCAGTAGGGAAAATGAATGAACTACAACAATACACACCCATGATGAGTGAATTACAACAATACACACCCATGATGAATGAATTACAACAATACACACCCACGATGAATTAATTACAATAATACACACCCATTTTGAATGAGTTATAACAATACACACCCATGTCAGTGACTCTCACACTAAAACTATTGAGTGAAATAAACAAATCGCAGATGATTCATACACTTAGATATCATCTCTTGAGAGCACCAAAATATACTTGCAATATTGTTTATTTTTATTACAAACATATTTGTAATATAAATAACGGTATCAGATGATAAATACCAAATTCAGGGTAGCAGTTACCCCTGGGAGGGGAGAGGGAGGGAGATAATGAGGGAAGGTACATGGAGACCTCCACTCTACTAGTGATGTTTCAGTTCTTAAGCTACAAAGAGATCTACGTGGGTTTATACCCTTCGTATGTTTCTGAAAACCTGGACTAAGTCATGATTTTAGCAAATCAGCCATTTTGCATAAAACTCAACTCTACTTGGAAAACACTTTAATGGGAACCTTAGACGCTTCCACAGACTCCTGGCTGTTCCTGGAACATAGCTTATAAACCTGAGCACACGTCCTGCTCAATGACCTCATTGGGTTTCTCTATCAAAGAGGCTTCTTCATCCTTTGTTAGTCTATCAAGACTCTTCATGAAAACATTAGTCAGTAAAGCAAAATAGACTTGCCAGAAATCTAGATAGTTTCTTTAAGCTGATACACCCTTGTTTAAAGCAGTCGCTTTTATTGTATTGCTGGTTCCCTTGTTTGATAAAGGAAAAGCTCCTTGGAGCAGAGGAACATGTTTTCAACTCCCCACCCCACAGAGCCTGGGGGTTCAGGTCTGAAAGCTGCAGCAAAAGTCTAGCCTGAATCTAAAACTAAGTTACAAAATGACTCTTCCTGTGCTCCTTAGGGGAATAGCCCATACATCAGACCAATTTACTAAGAGGTCACAGGCTGGTTGCCCTAAGGCTGTGGGACCTGAACCTACACAGTCTTCATATCTGCTCCCCACCTCTCTTTCTCTGTCTCTGCACCCTAGTGGACCCCATGACCTACAGCTCTCTGGCTCCTCCCATACTCTTTCTTCCTGAGGAATCAGGTCATCATCGCCTGCATATCATACTCTGAATACCACCAACCACGGCACGAATTTAGGAGGTATTTGGTAGAGTGGAAGCGGAGTGGGATTGGCAGCCAAATATCCCTTAGTGGCTGTTGAGCCTTCGGCAAGCAATTTCACTTTTTGAGTCTTCGTTTTAGAATGGGGATGATCACATTTAACTGATGCACTGATCACGGTGACTGGAACTCGGCAAATGTCATCATTGTCCCCATCACCCCAGAGTCCAGCCAACACAGCCCTTGCTGTGGGTGAGCTTCACTTCTCTGGCTGAGTTAAGGGCCACCTGGTCTTAGCATCTTGCACTCACACATCTGTAGGTGAATCTTAGTCTTCTATTTGTACAGCACACACAGGACACAAGGCGGATTTCTAACAAATGAAAATTTGACTCTGCATCTGGCCAAATTTACTACGAATGTAGGACAAGCCTGAGAACTTAATCTTTAAGGATGGTGAGTGGAGATCTAGGAAGAGAAGACCCTAAGTCTTAAGACCCTAAGTCTGAGCTTCAAGTCAGGAAAGGATTCATAGAAAAAGCTGAGTTAACTTCTGGGGACAATAGAATTTTCAGCAGACAAGGAAAAGGGCAGAACCCAGGCACAAAGCTCAGCATGGACAGAGACATAAGGGCCAGGGAAACCATGACCTTCTGGTGAAGCACCAGCAATACTAGAGTAAAACTTCCTGAAGAAGGAGCGATAGCTCAGGCTGAAAAGACCTGCAGGGGCCTGATCATAAAGAGCCTTGAATGTCATATAAAGGTGGGGGGTGGGGGAAATCTCCTTGTATAAGCAATGGGAGGAGCTGGAGAAGAATTTGGAGAAGAAAAATTGCATAATTAGATTTGTGTTTCAGAGTAGCAGCTCTACCAGTAAGAAATTGACTGACTAGAGGAAATGAGTGTTGGAGATGAGAAACTTGGCTAGGAGAAGGGCAAGAATTCAGTCAGAAGATAGCCTCTGTGGTCAAGATTAGTGGCTCATGCCTATAATCTCAGTGCTTTGGGAGGCCGAGGCAGGAAGACTGCTTGAAGCCAGGAGCGCAAGACAAGCTTGGGCAACACAGCAAGACCCCACCTCTACAAAAAATAATTAAAAATTTGCTGAGTATGGTGGTGTGAGTCTGTGGCCCCAGCTACTCGAGAGCTGAGGCAGGAGGATCGCTTGAGCCCAGGAGTTAGAGGCTACAGAGAGCAATAGTCATGCCACAGCTTTCTGGTCTAGGTAACAGACAGAGTGAGACCCCATCTCAAAAATAAATAAAAAAAAAGAAAGAGGAGAAGGAGGAGGAGAAGGGGGGCAAGAAAGAGGAGGAGGAGGAAGAGAAGTAGGAAGAGGAAGAGGAGTAGGAGGAAGAGGAGGATGAAGAAGAGGAAAAGGAGGAGGAGGTGGAAGAGGATGAGGAAGAAGAGGAAGAGGAGCAGGAGGAAGAAGAGAAGAAGGAAGAGAAGGAAGAAGAGGGAGGAGGAGAAAGAGGAGGAGGAGGAGGAGGAGGAGGAGGAGGAGGAGGTAGCCTTCTATTCCAGAAAAATACCCACCATGTGGATGAAGAGGAAAAAACAAATACATGATATCTTGAAGAAAGGAAGTAACAGGATATAGAAACTGACTGAATGTGAAAAGGAAGAAAAGGAGAGTATATAAAGGCAAGTTGTTGGCTTGGGTGCATGGATGGAATGGACTGCCACTTAACGAGACAAGGGAGAGAGAGAGGGGAGCAGCCCGAGGAGGATTATGATGAGGTCCCAATTATAGTACATTAAAAATGTCTCTGGAACAATCAGGGATTGCTGGAAAATATAAAAACAAATCAGAAAACTACTTGGGCATATAGCCATTAAACTTGAGGGAGTAAATGTTCCCTAGCTCAAGGCTGTGCAATACAATTATGATTTGAGCCACATTGCTAATTTTAGATTTTCTAATAGCTACATTCAACAGCATTTCTATATGCCAATAATGAAGTCGCTGAAAAAGAAATCAAGAAAGAAATCTCACTTACAATTGCTGCCAAAAAAAATAAAATACTGAGGAAGAAATTTAACAAAGGAGGTGAAAGACCTCTACAAAGAAAACTATAAAATGCTGATGAAAGAAACTGAAGAAGACAGAAGATACAAACAAATGAACATATCCCATGCTTATGGATCAGAAGAACTAATATTATTAAAATAATCATGATGCTACTACCCAAAGCAATCTACAGATTCAATTCAATCCCTATCCAAATACCAATGACATTCTTTACAAAAACAGAAACAGAATCCTAAAGTTTATATGAAATCACAAAAGAACCTGAATAGTCAAAGCAATGCTGACAAAAAACAAAAAAGAAAAAACAAAAACAACAACAAAAAAAGCTAGAGGTATCACCTGATGGAACTTCAAAATATACCAAATGCTGGCTGGGCACAGTGACTCCCTCCTGTAATCCTCGCACTTTGGAAGACCAAGGTAGGCGGATTGCCTGAGCTGAGGATTTTGAGACCAGCCTGGGTAATATGGTGAAACCCTGTCTCTACTAAAATACAAAAAATTAGCCAGGCGTGGTGGTGGGCGCCTGTAATCCCAGCTACTTGGGAGGCTGAGGCAGGAGAACTGCTTGAACCTGGGAGGCAGAGGTCACAGTGAGCCGAGATCATGCCACTGCACTCCAGCCTGGGCAACAGAGCAAGACTCCGTCTCCAAAAAAAATATGTACCAAATGCTATAATGATCTAAACATCATGATATTGGTATAAAAACAGACACATATATCAATGGAATGGAATAGAGAACCCAGATATAAATAAGTCTATATATTTACAGCCAACTGATTTTTGAAAAAGGTGCCAAGAACATACATTGAGGAACGAACATCCTCTTTAATAAATGGCCCTGGGAAAACTGGATACCCTCTCTCTCACCATATTAAAAAAATCCATGCAAAAGTGAGTTAAAAGCTTAAATGTAAGACCTGAAATTATAAAATTACTAGAAGAAAACAGGGGAAACAATTCAGGACATTGGTCTCGGCAAAGGTTTTATGGCTCAGACCTCAAAAGCACAGGCAACAACACAAAAATAGACAAGTGGAACTACATTAAGCTAAAAAGCTACTGCCCAGAAAAAGAAACACTCAACAGAGTGGAGAGACACCTGTTGAATGGGAGAAAATGTTTGTAAACTATTCATCTGACAAGGAACTAATATCCAGAATGTTCAAGGAACTCAAACAACTCAACAGCAAATAACAATAATAATAATCCCATTAAAATGTGGGCAAAGGATCTGAGTAATTATTTCTCAAAAGAAGACATACAAATGGCCAACAGATATATGAAAAAATGCTCAACATCACCAATCATCAGGGAAATGCCAATCAAAACCCATTCAGTTTCTCCTGAAAACAAATGGGAACACAAGCTCTCCGGAAGCCAGAACATTCTGGATATTCGCTTCACAAGAAGCTATCATTTTACCCCATTTAGAATGGGGTTATCAAAGAGACAAAAAATAACAAATGCTGGCAAGGATGTGGAGAAAAGGGAATTCACACACTGTTGGTAGGAACGTAGATTAGTACAGCCATTATGGAAAACTGCATGAAGATTTTTTTTTTCTCTTGAGACGGGAGTTTCACTCTTGTCGCCCAGGCTGGAGTGCAGTGGCACAATCTCGGCTCACTGTAACCTCTGCCTCCCGGGTTCAAGTGATTCTCCTGCCTCAGCCCCCCGAGTCGCTGGGATTACAGGCACCTGCCACCACACCTGGATAATTTTTTGTAGTTTTAGCAGAGACAGGGTTTCACTGTGTTGGCCAGGCTGGTCTTGAACTCCTGACCTGAGGTAATCCACCCGCCTCGGCCTCCCAAAGTGCTGGGATTACAGGCGTGAACCACCATGCCCAGCTGGTATGAAGATTACTTAAACTAGAAATAGAGCTACCATACAATCCAACAATTCCACTATCGGGTATTTATCCAAAGGAAAGGAAATCAGTGTATCAAAGAGATACCTGCACCCCCATGTTTTTTGCAGGATGATTTACAATAGCCACGATATGAAATCAACCTGAGTGTCCATCAGTGGATGAATATATAAAGAAAATGTGACATATATACACAATGAAATACTGTTTGGCCATAAAAAAGAATGAAATCCTGCCATTTGCAGGGATATGGATGGAAACGGAGGTCATTATGAAATAAGCCAGGCACAGAAAGAAAAATATCACATATTCTCACTCATATGTGGGAACTAAAATAGTTGATCTCGTAGAGACAGAGAGTAGCATAATACTTACCAGAGGCTTGGAGAGGTGTGTTGGAGAGGGGACATGAGGAGAGGTTGGTTAATGGGTACAAACCTACAGTTGGATAGAAGAAATAAGTTCTACTGTTTGATAGCACAGTAGGGTGATGATAGCCAACAACATTATATTTTTGAAAATACCTAGATTTGAAATGTTCTCAACACAAAGAAATGATAAATGTTCAAGGTGATGGACCCCCTAAAAGTCCTGATTTGATCATTACACATTGTATGTATCAAAATATCACATGTATGCCATGAATATGTACAAATATTATGTATCAATATGCAAAGGCAAAAAAAGGAATAGTTAAAAGTGATTCTAATAATATGTTTATATTAAATTACTTTAAGTTATATATATTAGATATTTTATATAATTTATTTAGACAAATAAATCTAATATATTTTCATGTCATCATGTAATAAATAGAAAAATTAAGGTATTTTTTATATATACATATTTTTTGTATAAAACCTTCAAAATCTGGTGTTCATTTTATGCTTATAGCACATCTCAAGGCAGACTGGTCACATTTCAAGGGCTCGATAGTCACATGCAGTTAGCGGCCACCACACTAGACAAGGCATCTCTAACTGATTCATTGGCCCCACCCAAGAAGCCATAAAGCTGGGATGTGTCTACTTCTGGTAAATTGTGATTGCTGTCTTAACAGCTTATTTCGACAATGTAGTTGCTCCCAGTGACATTTTGTAAGTGGGATTTTGGCATATCCTAGGTCCTCTGGTACAAGTGTATATGATGGCATGAATGCCCGAAGTGCTTTGACCTCTGCAGCGAAAGCTGATGGTCACATATGAGGAATGAACGAGCTCAGCACTCTCATTGTACAGGAGGAACACGGGGTCTGATTGAAGGGGATGTGTGGGGCACAGCTAAATTAACCCGGTTAACTTGGTCCTGTACCCCACTCTCATCCCAGCCAATTGAACACGAGTCTTGAGTTTCTCTGTTTTTTTTTTGTTTTTTTTTTTTTTTTTTGTATATGTTTTCTGCCATTTGAAGTATTGCATCAGATCTTCCCTTTTTATTTAACTGGATTCCTGTTGGGATTTTCGTTAGCTGGTTGCTGCAGGTACCAGGACACTAGGTCAAGCTATGCACAGCATAGAGTAAATGTTAATCTCTTTCAAATCCACCCAGGATGACGTGCCCAAGAGCCTTACCCAAGAGCAATGCATGATTTACTCAACCTGTAAAATAAATTACAAGTTGCTTTAAAGCCTGTGTGGTAATATGTAAATCCTGCTCCATTCCTTCCACACACACCGGCATGGCCATTCGAATCTCTTTCACATTAAGTTTGAAAGTAAATGACAGCTGCACACACAGGCTAAATAGGAATCTCCAGCCAAAAATCTAGAGAGACCAAAGAATAATAGAAAGTTTGTGGATGTAATGTGGGGGTTATTTGAGTTCTCAATGCTAATTTAAACAAAACAAAACAAAAAAACCCCGATGAAGTAAGACTTTAATCTTTGTTGAGTTTCATGGTATCCTACACTGTATTTTTAAAACTGGTTTCTCTAGTGTTAAAGACATTGTTTTACTTTGAAATTTTAGAAGAAATGTCTAAATTTCAGTTTCCCCATTTATAAAATATGTCCAGGTTCATGCTCTTTGTGTAAGGCATTTTTATCCCTTTGAAGATACTAAGTTATTATCATTAACGTAATTCCCTTTGAATATCAATGTAGAGTTAATTTACCCAATCGCTATCATCCACTTGTAATAAAAGCATCACACTCAGTGAAAAGTACGCAGCTTTGGAAAAAATCATCTGCTTCTAGCTTCCGGAGAGCTTGTGTTCCCATTTGTTTTCAGGAGAAACTGAATGGGTCGCTTTGTCTTGCTGGTGGACTCTTTGTTAAACTTTCCCTTTTGTTTGCACATTTCTGACAGAAGGAAACGTGTTTATTGCCTGGCACTCGTTACGAGCACTTAATAAATCCTTGTTGGATGAATAAGCAAATGAGATTCCAGAACGGCCAGGTTACCTTTCCCTTCCCAGCAGCTTCCAAGCTTCTCCCCCTGCCTGAGACGTAGCAGACAGGTCTGGCCCGAAAAGGAACAGAATTACTGCAAATAAACGGCTACATGTTTGAGACATCAGAAATCCCCAGAAATCTTCATCTCACTCCTCTTGCTTCCCGAGTCGTGTTCCCTTCTTCCTGCTACACTCATATTCCAGCGTGAGGTCACTGGCTTGGGGCCTCTCCGAGGTCTTTTTCTCAGTCGAATGAGTATCTCCCTCTGCAAGTGCAGTGTGGTCCACCAGCCCCGAGGCGTGGCTACCCAGCGCCCTGTGATTCCCTAGATGAGGCCAATGGCCCGTGTATTTTCTCATTCCTCAGGGCCATCCAGACAGCTCCCACAGAGGCTTCCTAATGTCTCCTGGGCCAACAGGATTTTTGTTGGCACGTGATGGAAAAGGCTGCAAACCAACCATGGCTTTGAAAGCCCAGCAGCGACATAGCTGGTATATGTGGTCTGTTTCTAGGTCTTTCGTCTACCTTCTGAGGCATGAGTTTTCATCCTGTATTTGCCCAAGCCTCATCTTCAGGCACAAAAGCCTTCACTGTTGAGAAATAGGCCAGCCGCTCTGGCTGGGAGAATGGCAGGGGCGACCTGCGCCTGGTCCCTGTCCCTGTGCCTATGCCTGAGCCCTGTGCCGGGTCCCTGTGCTCTCCTCTCATGTAGCTGGCAATGAGCCCCAGGTCCTGCATCCCAGGCAACCCGGAAGCTGGTTTGTGCGGTGTCTACAGTAAGGCTATTCAGGTATCAAGCTGTCTCAGGATTCGCATGGTTAAAAATACATGAACTTGTGGGTTAAACACTAAGGTAGCCCATCCCGTGATTCCCGGTGCACAGTAAGGTGAGGTGGGACTCAGCCTCTTCTCCTCCCTAGTCTTCATTTCTACGTTGGGAACAGGGAGCACGTGGTATTGGGAAGAAGATGGAGCCAGTGAATGGTAGGTTCAAAGCCCTGATTTCTCCACTCACCATTTCCATAGATCTGAGGAAATCAACCTCTTGGAGCCATGGTTTTGCATCTATAAAATGAGGTTAAAAATATCTGCTTTCCAAAATTCTTATAAGGATCAGGTCAAGTTTGTCCAACCTGCAACCCACGATGGCTTTGAATGCAGCCCAACACAAATTCTTCAACTTTCTTAAAACATGAGATTATGCATGGACCTTCATTTTTTTCTCTTTTGCTCATCACCTATTGTTGATGTTAGTGTATTTTATGTGTGGCCCAAGACAATTCTCCTTCCAGTGTGGCCCAGGAAACCCAAAAGATTGGACACCCCTGGATTAGATATTTCTAAAAAATTATCTTTATAGTAGAGCTTCCGCACAGCAAAAGAAACTATCAACAGAGTAAATAGACAACCTATAGAATAGGAGAAAATATTTGCAAACTATGCATCTGAAAAAGGACTAATATCCAGAATCCATAAAGGACTTAAATCAATAAGGAAATAAAAACAAAAACAAATAACCTCATTAAGAAATGGGCAGAGGACATGAACAGACATTTTTCAAAAGAAGACAAAGCCACCAACAAGCATATGAAAAAATGCTCAGCGTCAGTGATCATCAGAGAAGCACAAACCAAAACCACAGCGATAGCCATCCATACCAATCAGAATGGTTACAACTAAGAAGCCAAAACATAACAGATGCTGGTGAAGTTGAGGGAAAAAATGGAATGCCTATACACTGTTAGTGGGAAAGTGTATTAGTTCAACCCCTGTTTAAAGCAGTTTGGAGATTTCTCAAAGAACTAAAAATAGAACTACTATTCGACCCAGCAATCCCATTACTGAGCATATACCCAAAGGAAAAGAAATCATTCTACCGAAAAGACACATTTCTCTATTTATCACAGCACTATTCACAATAGCAAAGGCATGGCATCACCAGCTGCCCATCAACAACGACTGGATAAAGAAAATGTGGTACATATACACCATAGAATACTACACAGCCATAAAAAGAATGAATCATGTCCTTTGCAGCAACATGGATGGAGCTGGAGCCCATTATCTTAAGCAAATTAATGCAGAAAGAGAAAACCAAATACCACATGTTCTCGCTTATAAGTGGGAGATAAACATTGAGTACTCATGGACATAAAGATGGGTACAGTAGACACTGGGGACTCCAAAAGAGGGGAGGAAGAGGGTGGGGCAAGGACTGAAAATCTTTCTATTGGGTCCTATGTCCACTATTTGATTGACAGGATCAACAGAAGCCCAAACCTTAGCATCATGCAATCTAGCCCTTGTAACAAACGTATCCATGTGCCCCCTGAATCTGAAGTTAGAAAAAAAACTGTCTTCATAGTAAATGCTCAATAAATGGCAATTACTATTATAGTTACTAATAAAATATTATCTTAAAAATATATATTTGATAACTAATATATAAAACAATATTTTATTAACATACTATACTGTATAATCAATGCCAATGTTATATAAATAATATATTAACATGTTTAATAAATATATGAATAAATATATACTAAAACATGTTATAATATATTAAGTTTCAATACATTATGACTATTAGAACAATTCTTTATATATTATTATATTGTACTAATATATTACTATTGTTCATGTGTCATTACTTCAAATATTGATTAACATGGTTTCATAATGATACAAGAAACTAACTTGTTTTACTGTTTCTAGCTAGTTTACTCTCTCTGTGGAGATACACTGGAAGTAAGTGAAAATAAAGTCACCATTTTTTTCCTGTTTGCCTAAAGTCAGCACAGCTTTGTTTTATCTGGAAAATAATCATTTGCTTTTTCAACAAAAGTAAAGTCACTGAAACATTTTGGAATCTAAAGTTCCAAATGGAAGTCAGGGATAGCAGATGAACCCAAACCAAAGTCAATGTTCACCTCCAGTTATGGTATCTTCACTGGTAGAGCCCCCTTTACACCTGCAGCTATTCAAACAGTCAGTCAATGCTGGTTATTATTACTCACCCAAAGAACAGGATAGGAAAAGGGCAACGAAATGGCCTGCCCATTACTTGTCCCCAAATATTCTGCCTGATTGCCTTCACTCTGTGGAATTTGCCCATATTATTTCATGGAGATAGTTCTACCCTGGTTCTAACCAGTTGCTTTGGCCTTCGTGCCCAGTTTATCAAACCCCATGAGCCCTTAGAGAGCCTATGGGTGCTCCTTGTTCATTTACTCAGTCAATAAATATGTATGAAGGCCCTATATTTCTGTACCATGCTATGTACTAGGCTTAAAAGGATGAACAACATACAATGGGATAAATACACACTTAGAAGAAATAAACCCTGGTGTCTGACACATCAACAGGGTGATGATAGTTAACATGAATCGATAGTCTATTCCAAAATAGCCAGAAGAGAATAATTAGAATGTTCCGAGCTCAAAAAAAGAGAAGTATTTAAGGTGATGGATATCCCAGTGACACTGATTTGACTATATGAAAGTATGAAATTATCATTTCTCCGCAGAAAATAAGTACGTCATATATATGCCAATAAAGTTAAATAAAGACATAAGAACAGGGCCAGGCACAGTGGCTCACACTTGTAATCCCAGCAGTTTGGGAGGGTGAGGTGGGCAGATCACTTGAGGTCGGGAGATCAAGACCAGCCTGGCCAACATGGGGAAACCCTGTCTCTACTAAAAGTGCAAAAATTAGCCGGGTGTGGTGGTGCACACTTATAATCCCAGCTATGCATGAGGCTGAGGTTGAAGAATTGCTTGAACTCAGGTCAGGAGGCAGAAGTTGCAGTGAGCTGAGATCATGCCACTGCATTCCAGCCTGGGTGACAGAGCAAGACTCCGTCTCTCAAAAAAAAAAAAAAAAAAAAAAAAAGGAAAAGGAAGAAATAAGAACACGATATAGTGGAGAGGCTCACAGTCCATTGCAAAAGGCAATGGATAAATACGTGGGGGCTTAGAGTGTGAGGGAGGCTTGGAACAACGTAGGCAGAGCATGTGATGGACACCTAGCCCCATCCTGGGGCTTCAGAGATTTCCCAGAGGATGTGGCATCCATGCTGCCACATGAAGGTGGCCTTAGAGTCAGCAGGGTAGACAGACAGGGCAGGATGGAAAAGGATATGCCCACAGAGAGGAGAGCGCGCTGTAAGATTTGGAAGGTGTGAAGTACGCCAGGCTCAGGGAGCTATAGGGCATCCCCGTGGATAGACAGAGGGTAGACGCAGTGTTTCTGCAACACGTGGTGGGAGGATCACCTGCATCAGAGTCCTCCAGCCTTTTGGCACAAATGCATGGTTCTTGGATTCAGTGAGTCGGGATTTCTGGAAGAGAGGACCAAGACTCTTCACTTTTAAACACAATCTCAGGTGATTGGAAGGCTAGCTGAAGCCTGAACTTCTAATGCAGAAGAGAGACGAGGCAGAATGGGTGGGTGAGGGCTAGCTCATGAAAAACCTAGAAGTCCAGAGGAGACGCTTGGACTTTCTCATGAGGGTCCCAGGCAGTGGTGTGCTGGTAAATGACTAACAACCGGTTCTGGGGTGGAAGTGGTTAATTCACAGCTTGCTCATTTCTGGGTTGTAATTACTATAAAGATCACATGAGATCATCTGTGTCCAACCTCGTAAGAGCTGAAGCATGGAAGAAAGAAAAGTTGTTATTCTCTAATTGACAGGATACCTTTTGGATTTGCTGAATCCACAGTCTCTTCTTCTAAACAATTCACCTGTCAAAATTATTTGTCATGAAAGCCTTTATTGTCATGAGAGTTGATTTACTCTTCAAAGGAATCTGTTTCGCTCTGACCTCTTTGAGCACACTTGACAGGGGTTTTGCACTGTGACCTCCCAGGAATCTTGCAAGCATCACCCAGAAGATAGGTCATCTGCTATTCCCACTTGTATTCATGGCAATGACAATTTATTCCAGGCATTGGTCATGAGATTTGCACTTCTTCACATATTCATTCACATATTTGTTTACACATTCATACTAGTAATAGCTAACATTTATTATGACGTGCCAAGACCTGTCAGACATGAATGTATTAACTTCTCAAAATGACCTATAAGTCCTATTACTGCATACATGTTATACAGAAAAAAACTGAGGCTCAAAAAAGGTACACCCTAGTAAGTATCAGAGCTAGAATCTGAATGCAGGTAGTCTGTCTGGGGATAAGCCATGGTGCCTCTCACATTTCCTTTTCATTAACTAAATAAACTGTCCTGTAGCCCTCAACA
Organism: Homo sapiens; assembly: GCF_000001405.40. Taxonomy (NCBI): domain Eukaryota; kingdom Metazoa; phylum Chordata; class Mammalia; order Primates; family Hominidae; genus Homo; species Homo sapiens. The sequence goes on from NC_000010.11 coordinate 14,168,933, forward strand.
GTCTTCCCGTAATTCACAGATGCCTTGAAGGGGGGTTGTTCTGAAAAAGAATAAAGTTTTTTCCTGTTTGCACCCAACTGAGGTCAGTAGTTTAATAAATGCATCATAGTGGCTCTTTGTAAGAGAATCTGATGTGTACATCATACTCAAACCTATTTCTGGTTTTATTGGCTTTATGGAAAAATTAAACATAAAAATATACAATGTCTGCATCAGCTCCTCCTGGGTTCTCAGGTGGAAGAATCCCTTTTCAGGTAAGATTATTCCTTGCCTATTTGAGGAGTGACTCCGAGATGAAGTGACTCCATCTTGGATGCTAATCTGCCACTTCGACTTCTGATTAGCCCCAATTCCGTGAATGCCTCCTGGTTCCTACTTTATTTACCATCCCTAGTGTAAGAACATGTCAATCTTGATGTTATCACACAAATTATAGGCTGTGACACGCATAGCATTCTTGCCTATTCTGTAGGATTGCTTTTAGTTGTCCCGCCCAGAGCACACACACCCTTTTCCTATGGTGGATAAGCCCTGGGTCTGGGGGTAACATAACATTATGGAGATCTCCCTGTCTTTCTGCTGCCAAAGACCATGCTTCCATCCGTAAGTTCCCCAGATAAATCACCCTTTACCAAAAAAACTGGATTTTGTCCTTGTTCTTTGGTTTCTTGTCTCCTCCTGTATTTGGGGGTCACTTTGTGTATGTGGCCCTTTCTTGGAACACTATCTCAGAGGCCCCTTCAGATTAGAAACTGTCTCACACTTTCTTAGGAAAACATTTTGATATCAGCAAACATTTCCTTGAATTTAATCTAAACCTGTCATTCTTCAGCTCCAACAAATCTCCTCTTATTCAAGTCTCCATTAAGATAAAGTATAGGCTGTCATAGGCTTGGGCATAATCATGTGTGTGATATTTAGTGTATTTGCAAGTAATTGTCAAGCCTTCCACAGTCATCCCACTCAGGCTAACCATTCCTTAACCCTTAGTGATTTCTGGTTCACAGAGTTCTTTACATGAGAAATTCCAGTGCTTGATCTGAATTCATGTACAAGCAAGGTGGAACACAGTGGATCATTCCAGGCACTATTCTCCATGGAATCCTGGCAAAGTTTCAAGCAGATGTCGAATAATTCTAAGTGACTTTAAGAGTTTCACATACTCTATACTAATTGCCCTAAGGAGCCATAGAGCTTTGACTATACATATTTTATTCTTCCTTTTGATCCTATATTGTGTGTATTTCAGAATTTTGACATCTTACCTCTGTATCTAACGTGTTTCCAAAAATATAGCATGATCAGGAAAGACAATTCTTGAACTAACTCTAGCTCTGTGTGGCTGACTATTATGCCCAGGTACAAAAGAGCAGGACTCGCCGGACATGATTCCTGGGCTAATTTCAAATGCTCCTTCTTTAAAAGATCTGCTTCCATTTCCCCTTAATTGCCCCTTTCATAAAATGACCAGATCCTCTCAGAAGATTTCCTTTAGACAGTTACTTTATGCCACAAATCACAAATGTTCCTCGAAAAAAGTATCTGAAGTACAGCGCAGGATATGTCTTTGTAGGAGAAATAAGACAGGGTCAGACAGAGAAAAAGACACCAACGCTGGGAAGTTAGGTGATTGTAAACTGAGAGCAGGTGTTAAAGGAAACCATATTGGAGTATTCAGAAAAACTCAAATTAGCACACGAAATAGTTAATCAACTTTTTAAAAGTTACAACTATCCTTTCTAGGGTTAATTTCCATCCACTCTCTATTTACCGCACAAACATTTGGTAAAAACATAGCTATAATCTTATTTGGATATTTAAGAAAAGAACTCCAATCAAGCCATCTTCCCTCCCTTCCACTCCCCTACCTCTCTTCCCTGGCCTCTTCTCCCCGTCCTCTCCTCTCCTCTTTTCTTCCCCTCCCTTCCTCTCCACCTTCTTTTGATGCCACAGTTTCTTCAGATTACACTCCTTACAGTCATGAAAAGTAAAGACTTGGCCTGATTTCATGTGGCCTTACCAAAGTGCTCCCTGCAAATTTTGCAGCCACCATGAATCACAAGACGCTGAATACGAGGGGAGTTTTTTTTTTTGTTTATTTGTTTGTTTTTTGCGAGCCTCATTCACTAGAAGCAGGGCTCAGAAGATTAGATGGAATTATGAAGTTTGGAGGATTAAAAATCTAACTAAAAGGACACATTAAAAAAATTCACGGACATGATTGATTATAAAATGATTTCCTTTACTCTCATAGAAGAAACCACTCAATCACCTTCTCTCTCTCTCTTTTTTTCTTGCTTTTTTCACCCCTGCCTCTGCAAACATCATTTGCTATGGTTGAAATCCTGAGACCTGTGTCAGGGCCTGCCAGAAGGCCAGTTAGAAATATATCCATCAGCCTAGAGACTCCTTTAGATTGCATTATATATAAAAGGAAGAATAAGCAGTGTGCCCAAGTGAATCCAGCCAAAAGCCAAAGCTGTGCAATGGCTGTGTATCACTGACAATGCACTAACTGTGATTAGGGGAGGCCAGCTGCCACCCTGTCTGTTTCTAGGTATGTCAAGTGTGGCCGCCCACCCAGGAGACAGAGTATGTTCAGGTGCCCTCTCTGCAACTGCCTTAATTTCAATGCTCATGAACTGTGTTTCTCACCCTGTTTTGCCATTTCCAGTTAATCTCATGCATATTTATGTGCCAATTATGCAAATCCCAAGATAAAAATGCATTAAGCACCCATGATTTAGACTGGTTAAGTCCATTACATGGTGTAATGAAATTATTGCATGATGTCCAATTTACCTCAATGCTTGCTTTAAACTGTCCATAAGTTATTGAATAACCATAACATGCCAAAATTTAGCTCTAGGAGGCTTCCTTTGTCTGACCTATCATCATACCAGGAAATCAGAAACTTCAAGCTAAATCCTCACCAAAGGGAGAAAATATTTCAGAACAGACTTAAGGAGGCATAATGTGATCAAAGTTTAAGTATGGCAACCACCTTGTCACGGATATGTCTTCTCTTCGGATAAATTAAAAATATCGCTGGGTAATTTCAACAACATTTGGACAGGGCAACTTAGGATTTAAAACCAAGCCTTGCCAATGGGATTCTCCTCTTGCCCAGTCAGGTCTTGTTCCCTCAGTCATGATGATATTGTAGGTCACTGAATTCAAATGCAGTTTGAATTTTCAATATGGAAATATCCATTTCCAGCATTAGAAATAAAAAGACTAAAAAAGAATTCACAGAAGCAATTTAAACACATACACATACACAAATCCCTTGAAACCTAAAAACTGAAGGGTTTGAATGAGAATCTATTTGCTATGTAGAGATTTTATGTTTAAACTTTGGTAGGACCCGAACCCCACAGTTTCCATGTTTATTAGACAATATGATGATCAAGGAACAAGCCATGATGTGAGTGATACTGATAAATATAATATGTGAGCAGCCTGACTCACTGACATCCATTTCTCCCCCGACTATAGCATGCCATTTTAATCGGCTCATGGTGTGATTTACGCAGAGCCTGGGTCCTGATTATTTGCATAGGAAACTCCCTTCGAAGTCTACGAGAGTTGTACTCGCGTGAGGTTAGGAGCTCGGATCCACAGATCTGTTAGGCGCCAGAGACTGCACAATACTGCGATAGTTTGCAATTTGAAAACCTGGTCAAATGAACAGATTACGATGCCATTCCCCAAAGCATTCAAACCTCATCCTGTCAATCAAGTGAGCTAGGATGCCAGTGTCATTTGCCATTTTCTTTGCTGTGGTAGGGGATCATGAAACAGCACCTTGGATTGAAGTGTACTGCCTGTAAGCAACAGGATTCCAGCTACATGCCCAGTGAGAACAAGTGGGTCACCAAGGGGATCTCAAAGATCTGCCAGCCCGCAGAAGGGCTGGAGTTAGAGCCTTTGTAACAAACTCTCACTTGAGGCTATCCTTCTAATGAATGACTCTCAGACATGGGTGAACATAACAGAGATGGGAAATTCTCGCAAAGGATGGGGTGTCTTCCTGCACAAGACCTACTTCTAACATTCTCTGAAAATATCATGGTCAGGCTCATTAACCAGCAGGAAAAAAAAATGTTCAATGACAAGAGTCTATTTGTGTCCAAATCATTACACAGGGCATCAAAGAGATGAGGTAAATCAAAGCTTTGTCCTATTGACTTTAACTCTGCTGTGTGTTTAGAGATCTATTTGCCCCTTGATTTGTTTTGAAATTTCTGGTTAAGAAAAGTAATATTTCTAGCATTATTGAAAACTTTGGATCTATCCATTTAGAGTTATAGGTAAATATAGCAGATATCAAATAACACCTTCATCGTCTGAGCTTATAATGGAAAACCCCACGTTCAAAGCGTCTCTTGAAAGTGAAAAAGCAAACTCCAGCCAAGAAGAACAAGCGCTTAGAGTCTTCAGGAGACCAAAACCAGTTCCCCGTGAGCATTTCTAAATGTTACAGGACCAAGTTCAAGATGTCAGGCTAGAGCAGTGCTCTGAAATCTTTTCTGCAGGTCTGCTATTTTTCCGAGAACACACTGGCCTCCAGAATGCATTAACCTACTTTCTACAGAGAGGATTCCCTGGTCCTCCTGCTCTGAAGAAGAGGAGGAGGAAGAGGAAGAGGAAAGAGGCTATTTCAAGTGGGAGCTGGGCACACTCTTTGCCTTAAACGTGTTACTCCTCCTGCTAAACAGCAATACGATCTGAGAAATTGGTACTTCCTGCAAACGAACAGCTCCGAGGGCTGCACGGCCCCAAAGCAAGAGTGACTGGAAATCCTGCTAAAATATGGCTGTCTAATCAACCGAGAGGCGAACTCATTTACTGAGGTTCCCATTGTCCACGCTGACAGATGGCTCGCTCCCCTCTCTGCTCTCCCCTTCCCCTCAGATCGCGCTGCCGTGCAGGCAAGCCTATTCTTTGAGAGATCCAGTTGCAATCGCCAGCCTAGTTCTGAAATGAGACAAAAGCTCCGTGAGCCTCCTCCCATGCACAGAGCCTTTTCTGTCCCTCCAAGCAGAAGGAAAAGAAATCCAGATCCACTCCCCTTACCTTCGTCCTCATCGGAGACAGGAGCCCTTCCATGGTGGCAGAATCCTCATGCCAGTTTCTGTCTCCTGCAAGTTACTCTCTCTGTGTGCCGTGCTTAAGCATCCCACATGAAAAGAGCCATGTCGGGAGCCGTGGTGGCTCCCCTCTCCCGGGTGGCGCCTCTGCACCGCCACCCGGTCTAACTTGAATCCCCAGCGCCTGCAAAGCGCCGTTCCTGGAGAAGCCTGCTCCTCTCCTCGCCCTGGTCCCCTCTCTCTTTCTCCCTCTCCCGCGCTCTCTCTCCTCCCTCTCTCTCCTCCCTCTCTCTTTCCATAATCTGCCTACAGCTCTCTGTGTACCCTGCTCACTTGACAAATGATCTCTGTCTTAGGTAACGCATTTGAACCAAGAACAGTGATCTGTAACAACCCACAGGGCAGCTCATCCAGGGCAGGAGGCGAGGGGGGCTGAGCCGGAGCATCCAGCCGCTTTGGGCTCTGTAGCTTGTTCTCTCCAGAGCTGAGAGCACTGTTGCGTTTGTTCGTTCATTCATTCATTCATTCATTCATTCATTCGTTCATCATTCCTTCCTCTCTTAAGAAGTGGGACTCCCACAGGAATGGATCTAGTTGACACCATTACTGAGCTGCTTTTCTGGTCTGTGTACAGAAAGCTGAAAAAGAAATCCCACTGCGTGGAGTACTTCTAAATACCCATGTTCAGCCCACTGTGAATTTCACACCTGGATAGTTAACTGGGTTCTTCTGCAGTTTGGCCAGATGTTTAGAGGCACATAACTGTAGCCTCTTTTTAGAGAAAGTTTCAAAAACAGATTTATGGACTCTGATCCTGAATAGTTGAGTATTAAAAAAAAAAGTGTGTGTGTGTCTGTGTGTGTGTGTGTGTGTGTGTGTGTGTGTGTGTGTGTGGACGCGCGCGTACGGGCACACTGTCCAGGAGTCCAAATAAATCAGGATTGACTGTTTCATTCAGCATTGCTGGTCACTTGGAAAAAAATACACAATGAAAGAAAAATGGCAAAGACCTAGGTCAGAGCATAATGCAGTTGAAAAGATGAGATTTTTCTGAACTTCTTTATGCTTGAGGAATTTTCTCTGTGAGAATAATTCAACATCTCTACTTCAACTGGTGACTCCTTAAATGTGGCTACACACATCTATGCCATCACCAAGGGGCCAGGACCCCTTTTGCATCATATATGTGACACATGTGCACCATACATGAACCTATCAATGTGATTTAAGGAAGATGCCCCTGTCCCTTGCCCTTCTTTCCATCTGTGATTCTTGTACTCACAAGACATCCCCAAGATAGGGCGAGCCACTCTGTCCTCCAGATGGAATCACAGGCTGGTCCCAGGCCCCTGCCTCTTCCTTCATTGATGCTTTTCACCCCTAATTAACATCCTTCTTCTCCTCCCGTTCACACATCAGCATTCCAATAGAACTTCAGTATCTACACCAACTCTATCACCTCTTGATCACCTCCTTCGTAGTCTCCAGTTTGCTTCCTTTTTTTTTTTTTTTTTTTTACAGGGTGTCTGTCTGTTGCTCAGGCTGCAGTACAGTGGTGCAATGATGATGGCTCACTGCAGCCTTGAACTACTGGGTTCAAGAGATCCTCCTGCCTCAGCCTCCTGAATATCTGTGACTGTAGGCATGCACCACCATGCCCAACTAATTTTTAATTTTTTTATGGAGACAGGGTCTTGCTATGTTTCCCAGGCTGGTCTCAAACTCCTGGCCTCAAGAGATCCTTCCGCCTCAGCCTCTCAAAGTGTTGGGATTACAGATGTGAGCCGCTGCTCAGGGTCCAATTTTCTATTCTTAACTCTTTCTCTGCGTCACCTTAGTTGCAGGCTGCAACCTCATTCTCACTTAACCAGACATGTACATCCTTTGACCAGAGTCTTAGCATCCTGACAAATCTGTAGACCCAACATATTGAGTGCAACTCGCTGTCCTTATATAAAAGATTATTGCCATTTCTGGGGGACTCTGGACCTTATTTCTTGGGTATTGACTTAAACAATACTTCTTATTTTGTATTGTAGTGTTTAGGGATCCCTAATATTTTCTTCTATTCATGTAGTCATTCAACAAATAGTTGTAAGGCACCTAGTATGTGCTGGAAGCTGTTCTTGTTCTGATGATACAGTGGAGAATAGGGTAGACAAAGTCCTTGTTCCAAGGCCCTATATTTCATAGCAGGTTTGATACAAAACTCAACCAACTCATCAAGCCCTTCCATCTATCATTGCATTATTCATACCAACCTCTCCCCATGTTTTTGGGTTTCTCTGTGGGATTGCAAACCTTCTGATGTGACTTCCATTTCCAGTTTAGTGCCAGTCTCTTTGTGACACTTCTCCTAACTGTACACCCATGATCAACTTTCTCCTAGGAAATAAAAAACCAAAATGTCTCCACGAGAATCTCATTCCTTCACCTCCATCTTTTTTTTTTTTTTTTTTTTTTTTTTGAGACGGAGTCTCCCTCTGTTGGCCAGGCTGGAGTGCAATGGCGCAATCTCAGCTCACTGCTATCTCCGCCTCCCAGGTTCATGTGATTCTTCTGCCTCAGCCTCCCGAGTAGCTGGGATTATAGGCACGCACCACCACTCCCAGCTAATTTTTGTATTTTTAGTAGAGATGGCGTTTCACCATGTTGGCCAGGATGGTCTCAATCTCCTGACCTCACGATCCACCCCCTCGGCCTCCCAAAGTGATGGGATTACAGGCATGAGCCACTGCACCCAGACTTACTTCCATCTTTAATTCTATTCTCTGTCCTCTTCCCCAGACCCTTCCTCTATCTCCCCAAAGGTTTCATTTTTCAGTGTCAGGGAAGGAAATCACTCTTGTTTACTCAAAACAGAGATGCCGTTCCTCATCCTCCCCGGTTATTGGCCCTGAACCATTAAAACGACTTGTTATCCCACTCACTGTTGAGACATCGCCCATGCCATGTGCTACATTTAGCTTCCATCCCTTTGGATTCTTCAATAACTAGAATAAGCTGCATCCATTATTTGCTTTTTTACTTTCGACAATTCTTTCCTGAAGCATTCTGCCCTGTTCATGACATGTAAAGGTTCATGAACAGGTTTGCACTGTTTGTGCCCTTTCTAAACTCAGAAACCCCTCTCATCAGAATTTCCAATCATGTACCCTTCTTTTTGTTTGTTTTTGTTTTTGTTTTTTTTGAGACAAAGTATCGCTCTGTTGCCCGGGCTGGAGTGCAGTGGCATGATCTTGGCTCACTGCAATCTCTACCTCCTGGATTCAAGTGATTCCCGTGCCTCAGCCTCCACCATGCCCAGCTAATTTTTTTTGTATTTTCAGTAGAGATGGGGTTTCGCTATGTTGGCGGGGCTGGTCTTGAACACCTGGCCACAAATTATCCACCAACCTTGGCCTCCCAAAGTGCTGGGATTATAGGTGTCAGCCACTGTGCCTGGCCCCAATCATGTCCCCTTCTCAAGAGTTTTATCCTTGATATTAAAAAAAATATATCTCTGGTACAATTGATTACCTGCCCCGCTGCCTCCTGGCCCTCTGTACTCTCTCTGGCTCTCAATCTCCCTAAAGGTTTGTTTAAAGTAGATAGAACAGAGGGGGGACTATGCCAAGGTTAAACAAAATTCGACTGATTGCATGTTTAAGGCCGGTTGTTTTCTGAAAAACTCCAACCATAGATTTTGGAACCAGAATAGCTTTCCTGAGTCAAAGGAAAGGACTTTCGGAAGGAATTTGGAATATTCTGTATAAGTGCACCACTTAGGGAGGGTAGAACTTTTCTGGTTGTTTACACACCAGCCATTTAGCCCCTGGAGCCTGGGGTTGTTCACCATATTTTTATAATGGTCTGAGAGGTCCTTGACGAAACCTCTGGAATCAATAGGACTTGGAACCTATCAATTAGCTCCTGAGATGATGCTGCTGTTGATGGTAAAGATGAGAATGGCAATAGCTGTTGAATGCTTACCTGGTGGCAGGCACTGGGCTAAGTGATTTCATGCAGTAGTTCACACAATTCCCTTACCCCCTGCCCTACGAGGGAAGTACTATTCTTACTGCTATACTGCAGAAGCTTCAGCTAAGTAATTCACCCACACAGCATTCAGTTCAATGAAGCCACTGCTGGTGTACTATTTCCACCTTGTGTTACTTCATTAAAAATAATCCCCACCAACATAAGACATACAAAGACTTAAAAGTACATTTTAAATTTCTGTTCTTTATTAGTCAGGGGTTGCAAAGTAAGCATTTGAAAGTATTTTATTTTAGACTATTAGGCTATTACATTGAGTACCTCGTTCACTTATGTATTCAGGAAACCAATATTCATTGAACATCCACTTCAAGCCAGGTTCTGTGTTAGACACTTAAAAGCACAAAGTCTTGTGTTTATCAAAGATAAACATTTACAAAATGGAGCACATTAGTCCATTTATCACTTATGATTTCCAAGTCCTTTAAATACTGATGACTGCACCTTTTATGTCTTGTGTGAAGTGGTTGAATTGTTGCAGGGTGAAGGGGGCAGGAAGAGAGAGAGGGTGGTGGGGATTAGAAAATATTTTAACCTGGGCAATAAATGTCCGTGAAGAATAATTGTCAGATCATTAGGCACCCTAACACCCTTGACATTGATCAATGTTACCAAAGTATCCAGAAGCAAGAACGATTTGCATTTTTGCCTCACAGATTTCTTTGGATTAGGGCACTCTCTGCTTGCAATTTACCATCTGGGGTTAACCCAAACTTAGAAAAAAAAAAGTCAATAAATATCAAATATGTAGACACTGGTGAAATATTAATTAAGTTTACACCACAAGAGAAAGGGAGTTTTCTCTGAAATCTGACTTAAGGAATTTCTACTTTGTGGTAGGTGGACTTCTCACCTATAGAGGAAAACTCCCCACACCAAGGAACCTCTCTTAGCAAATGCCCTTGCCCTTTGAGCCACCCTTCTTTCATATTTTGATGTCAAAAAAGAGAGGGAAATAATAACTTTATAATAAACTTCTCTAGACTAGGAGCACTTGTAAACGTCACAAAGGCTGTTGGGTAGGCCATGGTTGGAGGCTCAGGTTTTCCATCTCTTGGGCTTAAACACTGACCCTTTCTTCCCCACATCTTTGCCATTTTTGAGGTTAATTTATTTAGGCCCCTTAGAGTCTCTGGGGATCATAGCTAGCCAAACAATTAGGTTTTATTATCTGGGATTGCACTGCCTGCTTCATAAAGAGTTGATGATTTATTAAGGTGAGAAGATTGTGACCTAAGCACCGTGAAGGCTTTACCCTCTGTGACCTGCTCACCACTCTTTACTATTTAGAAACATCTTCATCAAATTGTAGGCTTTGGGATGATAATGGATAGAAAAGGTCTTCTTCCTGGATCAGTTCCAGATATCTTGGGTAACACTGAAGGAGTTATGTAACTAACATGACAAATCTCCTTCCCCCTTTTTCTCTCTGCCTCAACCCTCCTCAGCCACACATATTTGCTTTCATTTATAATATAAATATCCGAACCTAGCACAGAGAAAATTTTCACCTGCTATGTACTAAAGTGCTCAATAAAAATTGTGATTTAATATTAAGTGCTTAAATTTATTCATGTCTAGGTAAGAGAAAACATTCTACAAGTTCTTGCGATACAAAAATTATATAGCGATTAACATTCTTTCAAATTGTTTTTACATGTGTTTGCCTTTTTAAAAACCTCAGAATGGGCCGGGCGCGGTGGCTCACGCCTGTAATCCCAGCGTTTTGGGAGGCCGAGGCAGGCAGATCACTTGAGTTCAGGAATTCAAGATCAGCCTGATCAATATGACAAAACCCCATCTCAACTAAAAATATACAAATTAGCTGGGTATGGTGGTGCACATCTATAGTCCCAGCTACTCAGGAGGCTGATGCAGGAGAATCGCTTGAATCCAGGAGGCGGAGGTTGCGGTGAGCTGAGATTGTGCCACTGCACTCCAGCCTGGGCTACAGAGAGCAAGAATCCATCAAAAAAACAAAGCAAAACAAAAACAAAACCAAAAAACAAACAAACAAAAAACAAACCTCACAATGATCCCATGAGATGTGGCAGGTATTCATTTTCATTTTATAAGATTGGAGAGGTGAATAGAAGAGTAATATTTATTGAGCATCAGCTTTGTTCCAGGGCTTGAGCTAGATACTCTTCAGTGTCATCTCACTTAATTTTAACAGGTGTATTATTATTCCCATTTAACATATGATGACCTGAGATTGAGAGCATTAAGTATGGTAGTAGATAGCATCATTTGGTCCTGATTATTCATACATTTTGTTATCCATGCAATTTGCTGTGTGACTTTGCCACCCTCTCTTTTTCCCCAAGTATGGATAGAAGGCTAGCAAAGGCGGTACAAGCAGAATTTTGAAATGCGCATGGGAAAGATACACCCACGCTAGTCTGCTGATTCCAACGGGAGGATAACAGAAGACCCAACCTCCATTACAGACTTACGAGCAAGCCAGAGAATCACAAATGAGTGAGACTAGCCAAGATCAGCTGAGCCCAGCCTACATCAGCAAAACTCTACAGTCTTCTGAAAAACCAATGCCTATTACTGTGTGGCACCAGGCATTGCATTTGTTATGCAGCCAATGGATACGATTCCTAATCCAAGATGAGAGTTCCTAAACTGTGGAGCAGAGCTGACTAGAACTCCAAACGCAGGTTTTCTCACTCCAAAAATTTCAAGTTCTTCCAATGCTGTCACATTTCTGTGGCTCACCCATGCGCAGTGATGGGTTGTATGATTACTATTTTCCAGACCCCAGATCAATGTCTAAGCTCCAAGACACACATTCCGGCACTTCTATGTTATTGAATGTCAAGTATAGGATCTACTGTATTTTATTTACAATTCCTTAAAATTGTGGCACACTGAGGAAAACACGGTATGAGGTTCTATGCCTTGATCAGTCATCTCGTCTTTATGATCTTTTAGACTCTGCCCCATTTTCTAAAGAACAGCAATTGCCTAAAGTTATCAGCAATCGGTACAGAAGTTAATTGGAATCTAGCCCTTGGAGACTTTTCCCTTCAGCAGTTCTTGCCTTTCCGAAAAAGTGTCTCACAGTGGGAAAAATAAAACTGCTTTTCTTCATTATCATAAACACTTCAGCTGGAAATGGTTCTCTACCTGCCCCGATGTTTTATGAAAACATCTAAAGAGCAGAGTGACATTATTTTCCCGTGTTTGAAAAGAGGTATTTCCACTTTTTTCTTTTTTTTGTTTTTTTCCTTAAGGTTTGTGGTTTAAGTACTTTTGTCAAGAGGGAGAAGAAAACCGACAGCTGCTGCAGCCCCAGATCGCTGCCCCGTGTTTGCTCAGAAGACCTCTGGGAGCCCAGATAAGGAGAAAGCTGAGAGACAGGCATCTGGGCGGAAGCAATGCCTCCTTCTTCCCGTCGTCACAGAGGGGAAGCAGTTGGATGTTCCTGCAAAGTTAGCATGCAGGGTAGCATTTTTACCTCCCGCTTTTGTTGGGTTATTTCCAAGCTCCAAACTAAAGAATTGTGCGACAGAAATTATGTAGGGAAACATTTTAATTTTTGACAAATAAAAATTGCACATATTTCTGGTATAAAACACTATGTTCTGATATATGTACGCATTGTGAAATGATTACCATGAATTTTTTTTATTTGAGATAGGGTCTCACTCTGTTGTCCAGGCTGGAGTGCAGGGGCACAATCACAGCTCACTGCAACCTCGGCTTCCTAAGCTCAAGCAATCCTCCTGCCTCAGCCTCCCCAGCAGCTGGGACTACAGATGTGCACCAACATGCCCAGCTAATTTGTGTACTTTTAGTTGAGATGGGGTTTTGCCATATTGACCAGGCTGGTCTTGAATTCCTGAACTTGAGTGATCTGCCCGTCTCGGCCTCCCAAAGTGCATGCTGGGATTACAGACGTGAGCCACGGTACCCGGACTACATCTTTTCTTGATATTTCTGTCAAAATGTTCAGGATTGTCACGACTTGGACAAACCACTTTCAAAAGCTTTGTTTATTTGTGGCTTTTTCTTTATAAGAGGCAACCCCAACACTACTACCAAACTGCCGTATAATTGTTTATCAAACCTAGACTGGGGAGGGGACAAAAATGATAGTGATCAATGGAGATGGGAGTTGACACAGTTTCTGCTTCTAAGACTTCTTTGAACTCTCAAGCTGTGTTTTTAAAAAGAGAGAGAGATAGGGTGCAGTAGCACATGCCTGGAATCCCAGTGCTTTCGGAGGCTCAGGCAATGAAATTGCTTGGGGCCAGTAGTTCAAGACCAGCTTGGGTAACATAAGAAGACACTGTCTCTACAAAAAATAAAAAATAATAATAATAGCCAGGCAAGGTGGCACATGCCTATAGTTTCAGCTACTTGGAGGGCTAAGGCAGGAGGAGAGTTTGAGCCCAGGAGTTTGAGGCTGCAGTGATCTCTGATCTTGCCACTGCACTCCAGCCTGGACAACAGAGCAAGAGAAGTCTGACAAGACAAAAATTTTTTTTTTCTCTAATTGGCCTATCCTTCATGGTAGGGGTGTGAAAGAGACCCCCATCATCTACCCTAAAAGTAACTCATGAACTCCTTGGTACAGGGATGTTCCTAGGTTCCTTCAAGGTGGACACATATGCTGAGAACCTCCTTTAAGGCAGGTTCGACCGGGGGCTCTGCCCTGAGGTTACCAGTGTGAAGAGTACAGGTGAAGGCTGTTGAAAAATTTAAGAACTCCAAGGATTAGAGGTAACAATCACAGAAACCTTCTGAATTCTACTGAGTGAGAACTAGCAGGAGGGTTGAACAATTCAAGTGGAAGCAAACGTTGGGAGAAGTACTCATTTCACCTGGGATTGTTGATTAGGCTGCTTCAAGGGAAATCCTATTCTTGAAGGTGGCTTTGACCATCTGGAGGAGGTTAGGATGTTGGTGCGTGGGGCTGTCGTAAGCAGGATGGGGTGGAGATGTGTAGGAGGTGAGGGAGGACTTCAGACAGAGAGACTGACCCATGCTGAAAAAGCATAGAGCTAGGCAGTAACATATTTGAAGAGAAAAACAAGAACACTGAAGTTTACAGAGTGCTGATAAGTGATCTCCAGATTATATGGTCTTAGACTCGATTTTTCTTAATTTAAAATTGAATTTACACCTCACTTTATTTGAAAAGTTATGTGTCATGCACGAATGAAATAATGTGCAGACAGAGTTCACTTTATATCATTAGTGGTGTCTTGGAAAGTTACACATTAATTTATTTAGAAATCTGCAGGAAATTCCTTTATGTTATAAAAGCTCATTCTTCTAAGTTATTCTAATTTTACAAGTTGGAATGGGCCATGCCTGCAGAGTGTTTGATGGTCCCTTTAACAGTACTGGGATTGTCTAATAATGGAATTATGTTTACAATGTGACCTTTCAAACAATAAATGTGCCTCAATGTGCATTATCTTCATAGCTCTAAGGAGTTGTTTCTTTTTTTTTTTTCAAATCACTCCTGTGTCTTAAATTTCCTTGGCCAGCTTCAACCTGAGGCACAAAGGAAAGTAATTGCTTGATTCAATTTCTCACTGTGTCAAAATAATGAAATTGATGGGCATCTTTTACTCCCAAACCTGGAAATGCACTCTATTTTGCAAATTGAATCTTAACCATGGTATCTAAATATGTTCATTAAAAGCAAAACTACTGTCTTTTAAAAATGTTCATAAACAGAGACACTCATGCCTGAGGTCATAAAGCCAAGTTGGCATTTTGATCAGGTGTGAAGAATATTTCTGTCTCAATTTTAGTAAGACATGATTTTTCTGACTCAGTACCTCAGCATAACCTAAGAAACCAAACTTTGTGAACAGTATTGACTTTAAACATCATAGTAATCATAAGAACAAAGAGAAATTATGAGATATGGAAAATAGCTCCAGAAACAAAGGCTTAATTTGAAAACTTTGCTATGGTTTCCAAGCATGTTTTTACCTGGTCATGGTTTGGAGAAAGGAGTTGGACCTTCTAAAAGTAGATCACCAAGCGCTTACATCTTAACACATTTCCTTTTTTGTTTTTCTTTTCTTTTCTTTTTTTTTTTTTTTTTTTTTTTTGAGAGAGTCTCACTCTCTGTTGCCCAGGCTGGAGCGCGGTGGTGCCATCTCGGCTCACTGCAAACTCTGCCTCCTGGGTTCAAGCGATTCTCCTGCCTCAGCCTCCAGAGTTGCTGGGATTACAGGTGCATACCACCACAACCGGTTAATTTTTTTTTTTTTTTTAGTAGAGATGGGGTTTCACCATGTTGGCCAGGCTGGTCTCGAACTCCTGACCCAAAGTGCTGGGATGGATTACAGGCGTGAGCCACTGCAACTGAACCCATTTTCTATACCCAGCTTGTTGAGTAATCTCAGTTATTTATCTAGCTTCTCTTAGCCAACTTTCTATTCTATTATGTTAAAAAAAATGGAGAAATTACTACTTCTCCAATGTTAAAAAAGGTATTTTTTGTTGTTGTTCCAATTTAAGGGAATTTGTTTGCTCAACAAAGGCTGAAGTGCTTTATACAAGGCACCGTGCCCGTCTCCTGAGGAGCCTCTGAACGTTCCCAGAAGCACACGTCCAGGCCGGGCAGAGCATGGCTTCTGTTTCTACCTCTCAGTGAAATCAATCCCCCTAAGCTTTCTTTCAAAGTAGCCCAAATGTGTGGCTCATGGGCTATAAGTCAGATATGAAAGAAGAGAAGTTTGGAGAATAAAGGCGCATTTTCTTATTTATTTATTTTTTATTTTTTAAGGAAATGATAGATATCCTTACCACATCTTCGTGCATGGCCTGCCCGGATACAACTGCGTGGGTACTGCGATGGAGCACAAACAAACGCGACCGCTAAAGTCGTGTAGGGTGTTTCCCTTTCATGTCTGAATTTGTTTAGACAGTTACACAATCAGAGAGCGCGGAATGAGAGAAAACAAAACCCAGGAGAAAGGAATGCTTTGAATCTAGGTCCCTGGGCCTTGATACTTTTTCTTTGTTAAATCAACCCAAGGCCCCTCCATATGCTGATCATCTTTTGCCAATGTCTGTGTCTGAACAGGTTTTCCCAGGCATATAGCTCAGAAAGAACCTTTCATCCTCCTTTTCCTGTTATGTGTATAATGTGGTGTAGCCCAAAGCCACTGTGGGTTCTAATTTGCATGTCTATTTCAAGAAGCCCGGAAACTATTTGCATAAGACTCTTGCTTCCTGAGAGATCCCAGCAGAAGGATGTAGAGATAGAGTCTTTCATTTTTTCATTTAGTTCTAGATATCCATAGTGAGAGATCTGTGTGTCTAAACCCTAAAATCTGTAGAATGTGCATGAAAAAATCTACCACCCTAAGCGTAAGGAGAGCTAGTACAGATGAGGATGTCGTGGCAGAAATTAGTACAAAAAACATTACAACATTTTGTAATTTTTCTAACTTCAAGTATTTTTTGGAGGTTTGTTGTAGAACTATGGAAACTTGAAACATAAAGCAAGACTATTTAAAGGTTCAATCTCGTCTTGTAAGAAAGAGAAACAGGTAGAGAGACAGAAAGGGGATATATACTTCATGGTCAGAGAGCTGCAGGGGCGGTTGTTAGCTGTGCAGATGAGCAGAAGAGAGGATAGCAGCAGCTCAACAGTGGCACCTTCAGTAGTTCTAGAGAGAAGGGATGGCAACAGCAGTAGACCAGGCTAGTACCAGCCAAAGCAACAGATACGTACAATCCAGACTAGTCCTGGGCGGAATAGGGTAGACAGGGCAGGGCCCAGTGGAGACAGCCATGGCCAGGTTTCCCATAGAGTTAGAGTGAGATAAAGTGGTAACAGCAACAGGGCAGAGAGAGACTGGGCAGGAACTGCAAAGATGGCAGCTGGAGCAGAATGATGTGCATCAGGTGAGAGGAAAAGCACAAGGCCAGAGGATCAACTGTGCAGGGTCCATGGTGATGGAGCACAGCAGTGGGCAGAAGTGCGGGCTGGGACCTACCCCCGTAAAGGAGACACTGGAAACCATCGTCCAAAGAGACAAAGACACCAATGACTAACAGAATTTATTGAGCTTACAAAATCGCAGATAAAAAGAAAAAGAAAAAAAAAAAAAGACTGGCCAAAATGCTAAAACTCCCTCCTCTTATGGGATAACAAAACAGGCTACAATTGGTTGGAATCAATATGACCAACCAGAGCCTGTACAGAACCAGCCTGTGATGTCACAGTCTGAACTACCACCACACGTTTCGTACTAACGCCCCCTGAATTTGCACATGCGACCCATGAGGAGGCATGAAGAGATAACTGCTCATGCCAAGACCTTTCTAGGTTTCCCCTTTCCTTCCACCGATCACCCACTAATCCCAGAATCCACCCCGTAAACCTCTTCTAATAAAACTACTCCCTTGAAGCCAGCAGAGGGAGACAGATCTGAGCTGGACTCCTGTCTCCCTGGGAACAATAAAAGCTTTGCTTTTCTCACAAACCTGGTGTCATAGTCTTGGCACACTGGGCAGTGACCCTTTGGCTCCATGACAAACATGATGGTCTAGGGACCCTGCTTCTCTCCTGTTCAGTCTCAGGTGACCCAAGGACTAGACCATGCATCCTCTTCCTTCTTACCTATCTTCATATCCTCATGAGAGAAGGGAGGGTTATCAGCCTCTGAGGATGCAGATGTTGCGCTCAGCCCCAGGATCCCCAGGAGACTGGCAAAGAAGATCATAGCTTTGACTGTTCAGGGTGGCCTTGGACACAAGTTGTACCCTTAAGGAATACCCTTCTCTGACCAGTATGGTGGTTCATGCCTATAATCACAGCACTTTGGGAGGCCAGGGAGGGAAGACTGCTTGAGCCCAGGAGTTTTGAGACCAGCCTGGGCAACATACTGAGACCTCGTCTCTGCAAAAAAAAAAAAACATAATTAGTCAGGTGTGGCGGTGCACATTCCTAGCTACTAATCAGGTTAAGGCAAGAAGATTGCCTGAGCCCAGGAGTTTGGGGAAGCAGTGAGTTGTGATCATGCCTTTGTACTCTCGTTTGGGTGACAGAGCAAGGCTCTGTCTCAAAGGAAAGAAGGAAAGAAGGAAGGAAGGAAAGAAGGAAGGGAGGGAGGGAGGGAGGGAGGGCGACACTCTTCCTTATAACAAGAAACAGCTTGCATTCTATAAAAGCAATGATGTGATTTCTTAAAGGCATTATGAGCCTAACTCCATGATATCAGATCATAGGATATTACAGTCAAATTGTGTATCAACTAGTCCATCATTTCACAGATAAGTAAATTGAGTCCCAGAGAGTTCGGTTACTTTCCTAAGATTACAGAAGTCCTCAACCTTGCTAATCTGATGTTCTTTCTTTTTCAACATACTGTTGGCTATATATGTCCTTTGTAAATAAAGGAACAGAGCCATTATCGTGGAATGACTGACTTAGAGAACGCTCCATGGACATTTGCTTCGACCTATATCCCATGCCTTTCTCCATTTACCCCCAAATTGACATAGAAAAAGATCAGCCAGATACAGTGGCTGGGAGGGCAACATAGTGAGACCCCGTCCCTACGAAAAATCAAAAAATAAGCTGAGCACCAGTGGCATGCGCCTGTGGTCCCAGCAACTTGGGAGGCTGGGGTGGGAGGATCGCCTGAGCCTGGGAGGTTAAGGCAGCAATGAGCAGAATGCTGTCACAGAGAAGGAACTCAATAAATACTTGGTAAAATATTTATTTTGGGGGTTAGAAGTAGACTTGGGAAATTTGGTTTTCTTTGATTCCATATTTCACTAGGGGGAAATAAAGATGTAAAACAGAGACATAAAACATGCCATTAGCTTTATGGGCCTTGGGACAGTGGGGTTCCCAGTTTTCCCGGGAGATGACGATGGAATGCATTCAGGCAGCTCCCACAATACAATTTTCCCATCTCTAGTGTCCTATTGGGAAGGTATCTCCACCTCCTTGTAGCCTCTCCATGCTGAATACACTTAAAACTCTAACCTCCTTTCCCCCAAAGGAGCTCCTTCCTTAGACTCTCCAGGTGCTGTCCTTGATGCTAATCTTTCTTCTGGTCAGCCTTTTGTTTTTCATGTAAAAATGACTTATTTCATTACTTACTGGACCTTTTCCACAAAATGCCTGGAATCAAATAAAAAATGACTGGATTCTCAAGTCAACCTTTCTGGACGCCTGCCTCTCCCCCTGTGCCAAGGACCCATGACCTGCTTGCTGCCTGGGCTCTTTGTGTGGTTTGGTTGCTTTTCTCAGACTTGAATGCTTCCCACTGAAATCCTACAATTGGGCACATAGCACTCCCTATTGAAAATGTATAATAGCTTCTCATTATACAAGCTCTTCACTTTGGCTTTTAGAATCATGTGCCGTCTCCTTTCCTATTTGCCTCCCGCCTGCCAAACTCATTATCCAATCATTCCCTCTTCAATCAGTCCCACCTTTCTACCTTTAGGTCCTTTTCCAGAATCCAAACTTTAATCAAAGAGATAAAGCAGGCCAAGACCCAATGTCCATTACTTAATAAGCCCTCAATAGACATTAGCTTTCTTCAAAGTCCTCATCAACTCCTTTCCTTGGCTGCGCACAGTAGCTCAGACTTTGAGAGGCTGAGGTGGAAGGCTCACTTAAGCCCAGGAGTTTGAGACAAACCTGGGCAACATAGTGAGACCCCGTCCCTACGAAAAATCAAAAAATTAGCTGAGCACCAGTGGCATGCGCCTGTGGTCCCAGTAACTTGGGAGGCTGGGGTGGGAGGATCGCCTGAGCCTGGGAGGTTAAGGCAGCAATGAGCGGTGATTGCAGCACTGACCTCCAGTCTGGGCAACGGAGCGAGGTTTTGTCTCAAAAACAAAACCAAACAAAATCCCGCCCAAAACAACTCCTTTCTGGGAAGCTTTCCCTGAGCAACCCAGCTCACCTCTGTTTGTCTTCACTGCCTGTTTGACATTTAGCTTAAGTTACCTTGTGCTGTTATCTTTTAACCCTGATCTGTATTTTAACCCTCAAGCACAAGGTCTCATGGCTGTGTATTTCCACCTCTGTGTATGGTGTCCTATAGACAGTGAGAGCTTAACATCTCGCGTCAGTGATGATGCTGCAGCATTGCTACGATGTCACCCTTAGCTCCAAACATGCCTACATCATTGGCAAACCTTTGAAATCCCAATAGCAAAATGCCAGAAATGCAAGAATTTGAGGTGGAAAAAGGGGTAAGAGGAGGAAGAGAATGGGCCCGGCGCGGTTGCTCACGCCTGTAATCCCAGCACTTTGGGAGGCAGAGGTGGGTGGATCACCTGAGGTCAGGAGTTCAAGACCAGCCTGACCAATATGATGAAACCTGGTCTCTACTAAAAATACAAAAAATAGTCAGGTGTGGTGGCGGGCACCTGTAATCCCAGCTACTCGGGAGGCTGAGACAGGAGAATTGCTAGAACCTGGGAGGCGGAGGTTGCAGTGAGCTGAGATTGCACCATTGCACTCCAGCCTGGGCAACAAGAGTGAAACTCCATTTCAAAAAAGAAAAAAGAGGAGGAAGATAATGAATATTTACAGACTGCCTTCTCTGTACCAAGTAACATTCTTTGTTCTTGTATAAATATCCTCTCCTATAAAGAAAAAAATAAACAAAAAGAGGGAATTGATTCAGTCAGGGTAACAGATGTTAGTGTCATCACTTAGGACTAGAGCCCATAAACTTCTGACTGCCACTGAAAAACAGCCAATGTCAAGGTGAGTTTAGACAGATCTTAACTCAGCCTGATGCTCATTAATGAGAACAATGGCAAAAGTGTTGGGAATTTGAGTCGGCCTCAGTAGGAAAATCCTTATAAATTTAATGAGAGCTCAGGAGAGATTTCTATCTATCTTAATTATGCTTGCAAACTTCATAGGGCGCTCTCTGACTCTAGGCTAAAACATGAAGCACCTTGATACCTCTAATACATAAGCCTAAGGCAGTAAATCAGGTTCTCCCCACACGTACACCACTTTCCAAAATATATTTGACAAAACTTGTCTAAATGTCTCATAGACACTACCCTTTGACTAAGAAAACGGTTTTGGTTATCACTCCCATTTTACAGACAGAAAAACTGTGGAACAGATTCTGATGCAACAGTATGCCCTCGCCCTAGCAGACGAGTTTGTTGCTCATCCTGAAGTGAAAACAGTAGTTTCTTCACAGCAAATGACCACCCCTCTCATGTTGGTAGTTCTACCATTTTCAAGACAACTGTATTACCAGAAAAAAGGGCTCACTGCTGGATGTGCTGGAAGCCGATACTATGACACCGGGTTTTCTGTTTGTTTGTTTTTTGTTCATTTTTTAGAGTCAGGGTCTTGCTCTGTTGCCCAGGCTGGAGTGCAGTGGTGCCATCATAGCTCACTGCAGCCTCAGTCTCCAAGGCTCTAGCGATCCTGCCTCCCGAGTAGCTGAGACCACCTCTGCCTCCCAAGTATTTGAGACCACAGGCACATGCTATCACACCTGGCTAATAAATTTTTTGTAGAGCTGGAGTTTTCTTGTGTTGCCCAGTCTGGCCTCAAATTCCTGGCCTCCAGCAATCCTTCCACCTTGGTCCCCCAAAGTGCTGGGATTACCGGCGTGAGCCCCGGCATCTGTCAACACTGGATTTTTGAGAAAAGAAAAGCTTTATATTGCAAGTCTACTCACAAGGAGACAGGAGTCAAGTTCAAATCTGTCTATCTGTGCTGGCTCCAAGGCAGTATTTTTTAATGGAAAAGTTTCAGGGGGTGGATTTGGGGATAAGCAGGTGACTGATGGAAGGAAGCAGGAAGTCTGGAAAGTCCTTGGGCATGCGCAGTTATCTATTCGTGATGCCTCCTGGGGCTTTGTGTGCAAATTTGGAGGAAGTTAGTGTGAAACATGGGTGGGAATTCAGGCTGTGAGGTCAGCAAGCTGGTTCCGTGCAGACCCCAGTCAGCCATATTGGTTCCAACCAACTTTAGCCAGTTCTTTTATCTCACAGGTGGAGAGAGTTTTAGTGTCGCAGTGAGAGGTTTCTTGTCTTATATGTTAACCTGCACACTCAAGAATTTTTGTTAGTTACTGGTTGTACTCTTGGGGGCATAGTCTCAGTTTCAGCTTTTCAGCAAGTTTTTGCTTTTCTTATGTGTGTTATCCTCTAAGCCCAAGAAGTTAGCCATTGGCTTCTTTAACTCTTTGGGGCATGGTTTCAGTTGGGAATCCCAAACAGAAAGGGTCTTCTGCTTTGAGAGAATTTTATCTAAATGGACACACAACTCATAAAACAACAGTCGTTGAGAGAAAGCAGAGGCTAATGGGGTCAAAGGTGAACAGCCAGTAGAAGTGCCAGCTCCTAAGAGAAAGGATATCAAGGGACAGCCATAGTTTACAAGACCCAGGACCAATCCCAATAAAAGTCCTGTCTCATGACCCCTGGTCTCTCTGTCACTAATTGAGAAATACAATCGACCGCTCCCCTCTGTTTATGCAGTGCATCCAGCATCATGTGACTACACAAGAGAACAAAAAGTAGTATCGGCTGTTGCTATGGAGACTTAAGAACCATGTGAATTGCTATGGCATCATAAAAGCGATATTCCAATCATCAGTCTTTAACTATAGGGCCGTTGAAATCTATCTCATATTTTTAGAATGTGTGACATTTAACACATTGATGAATATTTCCAGCCTCAGAATATATTCCCTGCTTTCATATTTAGATAGGAGTTTTCAGCTCAACTGGCTGTTTTTTTTTTTTCTCTCTCTCTCTCTCTCTCCTGGCAAATGCTTCATCTCCTCATGAGTGATTACAACTCTTTCTATACTTTCCTAGATGTTTCTTCATTCTTGCTTCCTGTTTTTTCTTTATTCTATAATTAAAATTATTTTCTCACTCACTGTCTCCACTTCCACCAGACCACTTTTTCACATCCCCGGTTGACATTTCAACCAGGCTTTAACCTCCACTGGTCTTAACTGACCACACTTTAAGCCAGAGTTGCTAATAATCAACAATTCTGAGCCCCAGCCAAAGGTGCACAGCTACCTCCTTGGTGGTTTTTATCCCTGAAAGTCACCATCCCCTTATCATCCAAGGGAATTCCAATTCACTGACTTTTCTAGGCTTTATATGAAATCATTCTTTTGGATGGAGAATAACATATCTAATTCTCCACTTTTTTCTTTGTAAGAATTGCTAACTGGGTTTTGTGTAGCTGTATACACAGACCATTTTGAATATCAGTGTGTATCCACACACACCTGTTTTGCTTATCTTATTTGGAAGATGTTGAAAGAGATTGATTAACTTGTTTAGAGTAACAGCTCTTATAACCTAATTAGCTTAGAAGCAAAAATGGGAAAGTGTAAATATCAGGAAATATACATTCACATAACAAAACTCTGCTAAAAGAAACCTGTTACAGTGGTGCACTGTTGTGAGATAAATTCCTCCACATTCCTTTTATTCTTGCAGCATCAGCCTCTCCAAATCTTCATGTGTATTAAGAACCTTCTTTTTTTAACCTCTTTCCTTAAGAGAGCTTCAGGATCTCTTGGACTTATGTATTTTCATCTCCTCCTTAAACCTCTCCAAAGAAGAGCCTTCTTGTTCCCTCCACAGTATTATACAATAAGCTCAAGTACATCAGTGAACATGGTATTACCAAGGTGTGATTTTATTCTGTGAGTTTCCAGGAATGAACATCTCCCCTCTAGGTTACTGAATTCTAAAACGTAATGAATTCCTTCAAAGAGTTTTTAAGCATTTTTGCATCAACTTTTTCTTCCAGGGGTCACAAAGGATGATTTATTTATTCACTGTTGCATTTCTAATCACACCAATAGGGTGCAGTTGTCACTGCTGTGTACATAGCAATATGAACTAAATATATTTGCACAGACAGTAATGCCACAAAAAGAAATAAAGAGTAACAGCGTGTATTTGCTGACTCCAACATCAAGGACTGCACTGTTATCCTTGTCAATATCTAGGTCAAGTTAAATACTGTTTTCAGAAATTCTACCCTGGGCCATCCATGGCTAATTTTATTTTTTGTTTGAATGGGATTTCTGGTAATCATGATCTTGGGAAGAACACAGTCTTACTCCTGATGATTTCTAAATACATTAGACTGTCTGTAAACCAATGAACAGTACTTTACCTTGCTTTCTCCCTGATAGGTTGCCTCTTAATTAATCAATCCATCAACTGAGACTAATGCACCAAGTGATGTGCCTCACATCAGGAACTGTGCAATGGAAGCATTAGTGAGCCTTTGCTGATATTTTTACTTAACACTTTCGGGTCCAGAGACCTTGTCTTATTAATCACAAACCAAACTTCCAGAAAACGGAAATGTCACATTTCATTGCTTTTTAATTCTTGGTGTTTTACCACATACATACATACACCCACCCACCCACCCACACACACACACACACAGAGTGTGCAATGGAAACTTGTAGAGTGAATGTAAAAACAGAGGGATGAATTCAGAACAAGACCCCATATGGTTTTTGAAGAACATACAATTTAGTTGGGCAAAGAGGAGACCAGAAATATTCATAAGCAATGAAAGATGGCCTGGAAACCAAGCAAAAAGTTGCAGTAGGGACCAGCAGTGCTGGTCTACAAATTAAAAAAAAAAAAACTACAAATAATATATAATATTATATAACAAATACATATGCCTAGAGATACTGCTTTGATGTTCTATGTCAACTCCAGGCTCCTCTCGCTAAGACACTGGCACACTTCTTAGTTTGATGAGGTTGATGGAAATGCGTTGCTCCTTTCCTAGACTTCTTGGTCCCTAAAAGGTTCTGTGGTGAACACTGATCCATCCCAACCCATGTCCCCTGCTTCTCTGAATTTTTCCTGATTCAAAGTTGATACATACAAACTATGGAAATTCCCTTTCTTTTTTAATTCCATGAAGATCAGACTTTAAGACACAGAATTTCCATGCATTAAATTTACATAACTAGCTATACATGTTGGCAAAAGCACAAACCTGCAAATGAAGACCCCAGGGGGTTTCCTCTGTGATTTTAATTCTCATTTTTATACTTATCTTCATTTTGCAAATTCCCTACAATCAGCTTCTATAACCACAAAAGTAAAAGCAAATAACAAAGCCCTCTAGCGATGTGAGAACATTCACTTATTCCTTCCTTGACTCATCCATCTCTGCGTTCCTTCATTCACTCGTCAGCCCTACTACTTCTCACAGCACTATGCTGGCATTGTGGGGAAAGGGTATTAAAAAACACGGAGGAGGCCGGGTGCAGTGGTTCAGGCCTGTAATCCCAGCACTTTGAGAGGCCGAGGCGGGCGGATCACGAAGTCAGGAGATCGAGACCATCCTGGCTAACACGGTGAAACCCCGTCTCTACTAAAAAATACAAAAAATTAGCCGGGCGTGGTGGCAGGCACCTATAGTCCCAGCTACTCGGGAGGCTGAGGCAGGAGAATGGCGGGAACCCGGGAGGCGGAGCTTGCAGTGAGCCGAGATCGCACCACTGCACTCTCGCCTGGGCGACACAGCGAGACTCTGTCTCAACAACAACAACAACAACAAAAAACCAAGGAGCATTCCTACTTCCTGCTTCAGGAAATGTTCATTTCTGAGATGTCAAGAGGATAAACTTTCTGGAATCTCTTATTTTATGGTTCTCTCTCTTTTATCTCCTTAAAGCACGTAAAATCTTCTTTTGGTTCTAAGAAATATTATTCTATTTATAGTATTATTAATCTATATTATTATCATATTATATCACATTCATTTATGTAAAATCATTATTAATCTGTTAATAACATTATATTATTCTCTTCCAAATGCCCTTTGAAAAATAGCTTAGCTGATTTTTCAGATACTGTTAGCTTGAAATCATGAACTATATCCAGGTCTTAAGAGAAGTGCCCCTATTTCATTTCAGATTGGTCAAAGTATTAAATCATCATCTCTGTTTCCTTACATTTTTCTTTCATTCCTTAAAAGTGAAATAGCAATTCTTATTCTCAGGGTAGGCTCACACAGAACAATAAGAATTGGTAGTAGTAGTAGATGCTATTTCTTTCTCCCAAACATCAAAAATAATCCACCAGATTCCCTTGGCATTCCCTTTTATGTAGGCTAGATGTCCTAATTCTTATTTTTGCTTGAGTGGAAACAGGCTCAGCATGTTTAAGGATATTACCTGTTATAATCCAGTAAGTTAGAAATGGGGCAAGAACCAGAAACCGAAGCTCCAGAATCTGTTTTAGGAATTCGGTGGAATTTAAAAAGAATAAAACCATACCTAGGAGGGAATCACATCTGCCTGAGATAGTATATCTTTCTGACAAAAGTAAATTGTCTCCCCTGTGTTTTCTTTCATTAAAAAAAAAAAAAATCAGTTGCCATCAGAAAATAGCAGAGGGAACTCGGGCTGCAGTTAGAGACTGAAAACTACCTGTACAAATTATTTCCCTAAGGTTCCCATACTTATTCCATTCTCTCCTCGGATAACAAATAAACTTGCTCAGTTTTGAACATCAAGTCTGACTCTTCGTGCAGTGAGCTCTCCAGGCGTCCCCCGTTGCAGGGGGAATCAAGCTGGGGCTAATCAGTTTCTTACATGATTCCCAGCAGGAAGGTGGTAATATTCATGACTTCAGAGACCAAAATGAAACCAGCTCCTTTTCTGAGGGCAGAGCCCAGGATAAAATTAATAGTAGCAACTCCTTGGATCCAGTGTACTGTGGCATCCTGCGTGCAAACAGCTCAGGAAAGGTTATAGAGAAGGTGCCTGTTGTATGTCCTGTCACAGTTCTTCACTTACATTGAACACATACAAACTACGAATCTAAGCCTGGTAGTTCCTTACGACTTCACGACACTCTGAAAAGTTTTGTTCAGTATGTTTACAGAGCAGCTATTATGTCTCTGCATGAGATTTTGAGAAAGATCAGTGGAGGCAGGACATGAACAAAGGCTTTTCCAGATAAGGCAAGTCAATTAAAATGGACAGAGACTGCAAAAACAAATTCTGATTCCCATGCTAAAACCCTTCCAGCTTGACCATAAACACACAGGTGTGCACATAAACATATATACTCACATGCACACACATACACACACACACACACACACACACATCCTTGCACCAGCAGTCATGGAAATATGGCAGGAATCCCATTACTAGAAGGCTGAGAGCTGAGGCTGGGTAAGACCAGCTATTCTGCTCAACTCAACCTTGAGCTACTCAAACTTGACCCACCCTCCAAGGACTGATCCCAGAGTCTCTGCCAGGCTGACCTTCACCCATGGACCTAGTAGCCCAAGCTGCAAGAGTTCCAGACAGGCTGTAAAACATTAAAATGTTCCTGTTATCCAACAGCTTTAGGGCACCTGAAGGGCATAAGTTATTCAAATCAAAGGCTAATGTTCAATTTAAATGAAAACCTGAAGGCTTTGATTTTACACAAGAAAAACAAATACTTTTTATATTTTTATAATTTCTAAGCAAAAATAATGCCCAAACCAAAACAATACTTTCTACATAATTCCTAGATATGGATAAACACTGACATCTATGTGGTTGTCTAAAAATCTATTACAACAGAGTCTAAAGTGTACTTTACATTGTTTGGTGTTGGATTAGAAATGCCATTCTTAATGTAAATTGCTAGCCCATAGAAATCATTCAATAAATGTTAACTATTATTGGGATTACCAGTGTTAACTGTGATTGCTTGAATCCAAATATAAAGCGCTAGACAATTCATTCCCATCTTTATGTCCAGTCGTAGTTCTCTAAATGGTTTGGGCTAAACTTCTTACCCTGGGGAGGAATGACAGAGAAGGGAGGTCAAGGCCAGGCAGGGGAAGGCAGGCAACCCTGTCTAGGGTCCATGCAATGTCAATAGTCTGAGGCCAGTCTCCATGAATTGGAAACCAACGAATTGGGTGAATCCTAGAATTGCTATCACTGTTCTCAAAACCCCTGCCAGCCTGAAGACCCAGAAACATCCCGATGGATATTTAAGCCAGCTCAGAAAGCTGCCACCAGGGGGCGCGACAATAAGGCTGGGACAAGCAGCTCAACCCAGAAACTCCCTGGTCTGGTACCTCAGTTGTTCAATTCATTAACCTCACAATAAGGGAACCCCACATTTTATACAATTTTATACAGGCAAATCGGGACCCCATTTATTGTGTTATGACGAGGGGAACCACGTGATAACTTTTAAGGGCAAAAGGAGACAATATGAATAATAATATTGGCGTATAACACATAAAACAAAATTGTTCAGGACAAGCAGGATATACGATCACTCTAGTTTTTTTATTTTTTATATTTTACTTTTTGAGATGGAGTCTAGCTCGTGGTGCAATCTCAGCTCACTGCAGCCTCCTCCCGTGTTCAAGCAATTCTCCTGCCTCAGCCTCCCGAGTAGCTGGGATTACAGGCGTCCGCCATCAGGCCCAGCTAATTTTTGTATTTTTAGCAGAGATGGGGTTTCATCACATTGACCAGGCTGGACTTGAACTCCTGACTCCAAGTGATCCGCCCACCTCTGCCTCCCAAAGTGCTGGGATTACAGGCGTGAGCCACCGTGCCTGGCCAGGATCACTCTAGTTATGACAAATCCACTGTACTATTAAATTATTATTTCATTCAATTGTCTTGCATGTTCTACATGCAAGCATACATGTAAACTTTGGCACTCAAATTGCCAACTTCGCACTAATGCCTAGACGTTTGTCCATAATTATTAAATCCTAGAAAGTGAGCACATCATCTATGCAACCCTTGAAAAACAAATCCCACAGTAATTTCCACGAGACAGAATATTCTACTTATTCATCACTGACCATCACTGACCATGTGTCATACCAGCACTAACTGCTTGCCTGGAGTTTCCGCTCTGGCTCTTTGGTGAGCTGGGAGTCCGCAGGACAGACCTGGCCAATGTGGTGCTTTCCAGTGCTCATCCTCCATCCAGCAAAGCACATCCTAGTAGGAAACATGCCTGCAGTTTCCTGGCCTGCCCAGACCTTCAAACTACTCTCCCAGAGCGTATTAGCTGAGATGGTGGCACGAATCAAAGGAATCAATACCAGTGGGGAGTAGCTGCTCGGGCTCATAGATCATTTACTTGGGATTGTCAGATATAACTAAGGAACAGATCTCCTCAAGGACTGCGTTCCTTGTGTCAGCACAGAGTCTTGGAGCGAGAGTGATGGGGATGTTCCCGCCCACATGACCTCATTGGGACATCGGGCTGGAGAGACCTGGGATGTTGAGGCAACTGCCATGCAATTGCTACTAGGCAGCGGCACATGGTTCTTGGCCAGGCGGAATAGAAACAAGGTTTACTGAAGGGGCCTAGGCAATTTCATGGAGGAGGAAGCAAAGGCAGAGGAAGTGTCCAGGGGGCCAGGAGGCTGCATCCCAGGGAAAGTGAGGGCTTTGAGGAGCAAGCCAATTTCACAGGAGACTTGACTGATTCCCTGGATCCTTGAGTTTTGCAGTTTGTTTCCTCTCATTTCCTCCTTGCTCTCTTTTCTGACTTTGCCCTCATTGTCCTCTTATCACAGATATGTTTTGTTGAACAAATCAGTATTTCAGTATTACTTTGGGATCTCATTGACATCACATGTACTGATTACCTTGAATTTGTCTCTTCCTCCATCCACGGTGCGTTATCTTATAGCTTTCCTACAAAACTCCAGCTCTCCATCTAGAGAGAACTGGCCGAGTTAAATTCCAACTCCGCATTTTATGAGCTGCGAGACCGCTCTAAGTCTCAGTTTTCTCATCTATAAAATATGAAGATAACAATAGCATCTGCCTTACAGAGCTATTGTGAGGTTTAAATGAGACACTACATTCAAAGTACTCAGTAGAGGGCTTGTCATTCATCTTTAAATGCTTAGTACATGATAATTATTATTATTTATGGTTACATTTAAGCTCCTTGTTTCTATCTTACCTTTCCGTGTTTTCTCTTAAAATTAATTATCCTTTCTTATCCAGTCCATTTCTTCCTTTCTTATCCAAAAAGCAAAGTAATTTAATTTTACTGGTTTTATAGTGTTACTGGTTGGTTTTAAAATTTTTATGTTGTTTCCATTTTTAAAAGTTTTAATCTCATTTGCTTTCTGGCTATCATTTTAATGCTTATTTGTAACTTATTCTTTATCATTTTGCATTAATTCTACTGCTTGATTTTTAAGTGTCTTATTTTATTTATTTATTTATTTATTTATTTATTTATTTATTTATTTATTATGTTTTGAGACAGAGTCTTACTCTGTCACCCAGGCTGGAGTGCAGTGGCGTGATCTCAACTCACTGCAATCTCCACCTCCCGGGCTCAATCTCAACTCACTGCAATCTCCACCTCCCGGGCTCAATCTCAACTCACTGCAATCTCCACCTCCCGGGCTCAAGCAATTCTCCTGTCTCAGCCTCCCAAGTAGCTGGGATTATAGGCACCCACCACCACGTCTGGCTAATTTTTGTATTTTTAGTAGAGACAGGGTTTTGCCATGTTGGCCAGGCTGGTCTCAAACTCCCGACCTCAGGTGATCCACCTGCCTTGGCCTCCCAAACAGCTGGAAGTACAGGTGTGTGCCACCGTGCCTGTTATTTTAGACATTTACCTTTTATTCCTTTTAATTTCTAAATTTAAATTTATCTCATCATATTTAGTTTTAATCTTAATCTTTCATTCTTTTTTATATTGATGTGAATAAAAGACATTAATTTTGACATAATATGTACTTTATTATTTCCTCTACCTTTAAGAAAGACATGAATAATTTTAAAAATTTTACTAAAATTTTAAAAATTATGTTTTTGTTGGCAAATAATCATATATTATATATTTATGGGGCACATGTGATATTTTGGTATATGTTTACATTGTGGAATGATTACATCAAGCTTAACACATCCATCACCTTGCTTATTTATTAATTTGTTTTGTTTTTTTTTTTTTGGAGACAGGGTCTTGCTGTTGCCCAGGCTGGAGTGCAGTGCAGTGGTGCAATCACAGCTCACTACAGCCATGAGCTCCTGGGCTCAAGTGATCCTCCTGCCTCAGCTTCCCGCAGTGTTGGGATTACACGCATGAGCCACTGTGCCAGGCCTTATATTTTTGTGTTGAAAATATTTAAAATCTACTCTGACACAACTTTTACTGATGGGGATGGACTCAGGGTTGGAAGATTAGCACCTGATAGTTTAATATAATTTCTTATTTTTTTGAGACAGACTCTCACTCTGTCACACCCAGGCTGGAGTGCAGTGGTGCAATCTCAGCTCACTGCAACCTCCGCCTCCTAGGTTCAAGTGATTCTCCCACCTCTGTCTCCAGAGTAGCTGGGACCACAGGCACCCCCACCTTGCAAGGCTAATTTTTGTATTTTTAGTAGAGATGGGGTTTCACCATGTTGGCCAGGCTGATCTCGAACTCCTGACCTCAGGTGATATCATTTTGTAAAGGAAAGAGAGCTACAGACAGGGATGTGGAGAAGAGACACTAAGGGAGAGAAGTTCAATGGGGATTTATTTTGCAGGGAAAGGAATCATAAAACGCTGAGCACTGTGCAGGGTGAGCAGCCTCCTCAGCCTCCTCAGCCTTCTCTCTGGAACCTTCCATACAGTCTGCGTGGTTCACTGTCCCAGTGGCAAGCTATGGCTCTTCCTTTTCAAATCAGCCCTTCCAGGCGCTTTTTTCCGGTGCTTGGGCTGAGCTTACAGGGAAGCGTGGCTCCAGTGTCTCTTCTAGGTTCTGCCGGTAGGGGGCGTGGGAGGGAGACTGCAAGGCTGGAGGGCTCATTTATTCCTGTTTACCTCCTGTTCAGTCCCCATGAAGCCATTCTGGCTGGTCCTACCTGTCAGGAGCGTTTCATTCCAGCAATGCCAGCTGCAGGAACAGCTGAATCCAGCTAGCAATTTTTCCAGTGCTGGCAGAGCCAGCTTCATCCTACTTCCTTGGACACCAGCCCTAGCTGCCAGAGCCCTTTCCTCAGAGCTCAGTGTTCAGGCCCACAGACCCCTCCTCTCAGGTCAGAGATACCAGCACCGGACAGCAGCCCTGACCCCAGAGGTCTGAGTTGCAGCTCACGGGGATCTTCCTCCAAGCTTCTCCGTTTTGATAATTCCAGCTCTCCTCTTGCTCGCCAGTCCTTGGAGTAGCTGCTTCCTGCAACAGCGGCCTCTTTGATTCCCTGCTGCCCTTCTCTTTGCCTTTCAAGTTACCCAGTTAGCAATGATTTATATCAAATTCTCCCGGTTAGAATAACTGGCGTCGGTTCCATCTCCTGACTGGATCCTGACTGACATACTTAGGAATGCCTGAGAAGTGGATTCTCTTCTGGGGGCATTGCAAAGAGAACTACTAAGTATTGCTGCAGGAATAACTTGGGGGGAAATAATACAGACTCGCTTTTCACAAAAACACAGCTGTGTCTGAGTTGTACTAATATTGCCTTCCCTCTCCCATTCGCTTTTCTGCCTTATAATTTATTTTTCATAATGTCCAGCAAATAAAAGTGTGGTCTGAGAGGAGAGAACCCCCTCTCTAAACTGAGAAAGCTGTTACTCTTGGCTTCAGCTGTTGCCAAACCCAACCTTCAAAATGCCTCTCTGAGAAGCCAGGGAGACCTGTGGTTGATGCTTCTCTGGAGCTGTGGTCCTATCTGGACACGTAGCAAATGACTTTATTGTGGGGGCTGCTTCCTGGCAGATCACACAAACCATTCCATAAAGGAAGACCTTCGTGTCTTTAAAATTCACGTGGAGGCTGGGTGCGGTGGCTCATGCCTGTAATCCCAGCACTTTGGGAGGCTGAGGCGGCTGGATCATAAGGTCAGGAGTTTGAGACCAGCCTGGCCAACATGGTGAAACGCCGTCTCTACTGAAAAACAAACAAACAAACAAATTAGCTGGGCATGGTGGTGTGTGCCTGTAATCCCAGCTACTCGGGAGGCTGAGGCAAGAGAATTGCTTGAACCCGGGAGGGGGAGGTTGCAGTGAGCTGAGATCGTGCCATTGTACTCCAACCTGGGCCACAGAGCAAGAATCCGTCTCAAGAAAAAAAAAAAAATTCACGTGGAGAGCCATTGGATTCTGGTAAACTAAGTCAGTGGTGTGCTGCAAGACAGTGGCAGGCAGGAGTGCAGAGCCAGGCAGAAGCCTTCCTGTCTGTGCCCCAGCCTGACTTTGTGATGACACAGAAGGTGGTGGTATCCCCTCAGATGGGAAAAGACACAGAAAAGCCTCTTTGGAGGGTCTGAATAGGAATAGTGGTCCTCATCTCAAACACCTGGTTAGTTTTTAGTTATTTATTTATTTACTTATTTATTTATTTTTGAGATGGAGTCTCGCTCTGTTGCCCAGGCTGGGGTGCAGTGGCGCTATCTCGGCTCACTGCAACCTGCGCCTCCTGGGTTCAAGCGATTCTCCTGCCTCAACCTCCCAAGTACGGGGATTACAGGTGAGCAGCACCACCCCCGGCTAATTTTTGTATTTTTAGTAGAGACGGGGTTTCACCATATTGGCCAGGCTGGTCTCGAACTCCTGACCTCAAGTGATCTGCCTGCCTCAACCTCCCAAAGTGCTGGGATTACAGGCATGAGCCACCGCGACTGGCTACACCTGGTTAGTTTTGACTTTAGGGTCACTATACATCACATAACTGGATGTTCTCTCTTTGCAGTGGCTGCTGAACATTTTATTTTTTTGAAACAAGATCTCTCTCTGTCACCCAGGCTGGAGTTCAGCGGTGCAATCATGGCTCAATGTAACCTTGACCTCCCAGGCTCAAGTGATCCTCCCACTTCAGCCTCCACAATAGCTGGGACTACAAGGCAGGCACCACCAAGCCTGGCTAATTTTGTATTTTTCGTAGAGACAGGGTTTTTCCATGTTGCCTAGGGTGGTCTCCAACTCCTGGGTTCAAATGGTCCACCTACCTTGGCCTCCCAAAGTGCTGAGATTACAGGTGTGAGCCACCGTGCCTGGCCACAAGCTGAATATTTTAGACTCAAGTTTATGTCTGACACCTCCAGGGCCGTGTAGAAATCCAGTGGTATACTACACATTCACTGGCCTGCCTCCTCTCCTGTCCTTTTGCCTGTTTCTTCACTTTTTTAATTTAGATTTTTATTGCAGCATATATAGATTTTTTAAATAAATAATCAGTCTTTGAATGTTTGACATGATCTAGAGGAAACTGACTACAACGTCGTTTCCCCATTTTCCATCTCAACATTTGGTAGAGATGGGCTCTCCTAGAGTGAGCCAAATTTACATCGCTGTTTTGCAGTGGTTAATGTAGAATGTTTTTGCAATATCACACTCATGACAGGGCACATCCAATGAACATTTGACTGAAGATAACACTAGATTCCAGAAAGTATCTAGACACTAGAAAGCAGGCGGTGATAATGGTAGTTAATTAACAATAACAATGTCAAGTGTCTGGCTTTTGCCCTTCTCTAATAAACCTAAAGAACAGACATTAACTCGGCTAAATTTGCCCTTACTTTCTTACAGCCTTCATTATTTAATTTTTGAATCAGTAAGCGCTTCCCACGGGGGTCACCTTGTTTGTCATCTTGTCATCTGGCTGTGTCCCATCATCATTAGAAATACTTGCAATTTCCCCTTTCTCCCATGTCTGCATCTATTGGGAGGGGAATTATGCTAATGGGAATGCTCTATCCTGACTTGCTATCCGATTAGAACTTCCCTTGACTTTTAAAACGCTCCTCCTCGAAAAGCATTCATTTGAATTGTGCCTAAAGTTATTCCAGCTGTCCTGAGGTATTATCTCAGCCAATCGTTCTTCCTCTGGAGCAAGATCTATTTGTCTATCGTAGTTTGACCCACAGTTCCCAACAGATTGTCAGTAACAAGAGCCCAGGAACATCTCTGAAGGGCTTTCATTGAAATCACAGAAGTTCTTTAGTTCTTCACTTCATTAGTAGGCATTAGAAAAGCTAGTCAACTTTCTTATTTAATCAGGTGCCTGTTGCTTTGAAAAATTACCGAAAGGAAGAAAGGAGAGACTCACTTAGAGGTATCACTATAGGCTGGGTGTGGTGGCTCATGCCTGTAATCCTGACACTTTGGGAGGCCGAGGTGGGAGGATTGCTTGAGCCCAAGAGTTCAAGACCAGCCTGGGTCTTGAACATGGCAAAACCCTGTCTTTATAAAAAAATACAAAAATTAGCCAGACATGATGGTGCATGCCTATAATCCCAGCTACTTGGGAAGCTGAGGTAGGAGAATCACTGAGCCCAGGGAGGTTGAGGCTGCACCGAACTGTGATCAGCCATTGTACTCCAGCCCGAATGACAGTGAGACGCAGTCAAAAAAAAAAAATTACTATATCATCCATAACTAATTATTAATTAGGATAACTAGGTTTTACCTAAGAGTGAAAACTCATAGCAAACTAAATTATCACACGTCACGGTGAATTGCCATAGTCACGGTTCATTCCTTTTCTCGCAACTACAAAATGAATAGATCCAGACCCACTTCAGCAAGGAATATGAAAGGTAAACAGCACATGGGGCCCTTAGCTGCCTTTTGCAGGACCCTCTCTTTTTCTTCCTAAAGTAGCAATTCACTTATTTCTCTAGGTGGGCACATCACGGAAACTGTCATACTTAATCGGAGCCTGGAGAGAGAGATTCAAGCATCTCCCTCACATCTGCATAGCAGGAAGGAGCAGAGAGAAATCGAGAAGATTAAGCAGAGAGCTTTCATACCCGAGATAACCCAGCTGTGTGCAAAATCAAGCCTATTGAACGCGAAAGCACTGCACCACCAAAATAACTGCTTTAACCAGGAAGGAGAAGAACCGATGCCCCAACAGAGCCCGGAGAGCCACACAGACACAAGTTGCATTTCAAAGTCGCTGCTGTTGTCTCCACCCCACGTGTCTCTGCCTTAACCCTTCCTTACCAAAGTTCTGCCTGATCATCTTTTTTTTCTTTTCTTTCTTTTTTTTTTTTTTTGCTATACTTCTTTGAGACAGTGTAAACCAAAATCTTACCTAAAAGCAAGATTTGGGCTTTTGACAACGTTAGCCATAGGAAAAAAAATTCTATTTTTTTGTAATCTCAGGCGACTAAGTTAAAAGTTAATTCCAATAAAACAACATTTAACACTTAACTACTTAGGGTACTAGCCACATTTCAACTACTCCATAGCCACATGTAGCTGGGTGGCTACTGAATTGGCCAACACAGATGCAGAACATGTCCATCATCATAGAAAGTTCTCTCGGCCATGGGAGGATTACAGAACTCAGCTTCAAGTATGCACATTTAAGTGTATTCCTAGGAGTTTTCTGATGCTGATAGGATGCCTAACCAGCTTCCTTACTGATCTTCTGATATTACTGTGAAAGTGGACTAAGAAACCAGGATTCCCTGGGGTGACTCAGGTTATGTAGAAATTATGGGCCGGGTGCGGTGGCTTATGCCTGTAATCTCAGCACTTTGGGAGGCCGAGGTGGGTGGATCACTTGAGGCCAGGAGTTCAAGACCAGCCTGATCAACTTGGTGACACCCTGTCTCTACAAAAAATACAAAAATTAGCTGGGTGTGGTGGCAGGCACCTGTAGTCCCAGCTACTCAGGAGGCTGAGGTGGGAGAATCACTTGAAGCTGCGAGGTGGAGACTGCAGAGAGGTGAGAATGCACCACTGCACTCCAGCCTGGGCGACAGAGCGAGACTCTGTCTCAAAAAAAAAAAAAAAAAAAAAAAGGGAATTATGTTTACTCTTGCAGGCCTCCAGGCCTCTGCTTGATTTGGGATGTAAAAGGAGACTTACCTGCCTACTCTTTAAAGTAGCCTCTCAAGGTCCCCTTCTCGTCGTGGTATGAGCCTCATTTCTTGAGACTCTTATTTCTTTCCAGGATTTATGGCATATTCTGGAGGGAGCGGATTCAGACAGAAAAGCTGGCTCTCTGCTAGTTTTCCCATGGGCCAGCCCCCTTGTCAGTGACCAGTCTGCCTCACTGTGTGATGGACAGTGTGTCCTGCCACTGGTAATGGAAACCCAGCAATTGATTGGTCGTTAGGTTATTTTCAAAGCTCAATATTCAGAATAATCTAAGAGACGCCACATAACCACAAGGACACACAAGGCTCTCATAACCCTCTCAACACAAGGCGCACTTTTCTTCTTTCCATCCCAGCAACAAACTGACAACCCAGTCAGCACTTAAGTTGGGGGAAAAACTAATTAAAAGAAGAATCTACCACCTATAGGTTAAAACAAAAAAACGCAATTGCAGCTGTCTTCTCCATGCCAGAGGCCTGTGGTTTGAATTTCAATATCTTCATCTACTTTCTGTCCTGTGGTTCCTTTTATTCTTTATTTCTTGTCACTATCTCTTATTTGTAGACACAAATGTTCCATATTAAAACCTAATCTTTAAAAAGAGAAAGACTGGGCTCAGTGGCTCACGCCTGTAATCCCAACACTTTGGGAGGCCGAGGCAGGAGGATCACTTGAGGTCAGGAGTTCATGACCAGCCTGGGCAACACGGCGAAACCCCATTTTTACTAAAAAATAAATACAAAAAAAAATTAGCCGGGCGTGGTGGCATGCTCCTGTAATCCCAGCTACTCGGAAGGCTGAGGCTCGAGAATCACTTGAACTTGGGAGTCAGAGGTTGCAGTGAGCTGAGATCGCGCCACTACACTCCAGCAGCCTGGATGACAGAGTGAGACGCTATCTCAAAAAAAAAAAAGAGAGACAGAGAAACAAAATATTTTTTTAATTGCATAAAATCCTAAAGGTGAGATCCACAGGCTCATGCCCCACTGATTGGAATGCAAAATGCTACAATATCTCTGGAAGTAATTTCATCCAGACCAATCAGTGACCTTAAAATAATTTGTAATCTTGGACCTAATACCTCTACTATTAGGGAGCTGGCCTACGAAGACTTCTGCCCAAGGATGGTCATCACAGTATTATTTATAATTCTCCCAAGCTGAAGAGAAGACCTGAAATGTTCCAAAGAGGGAAATGGTTAGATAAGCAACATATTTATAAACAACATTCCAGAGTGTTCTGGAATGTCATACAAACTTTCCAGGTCATGTTTTAGAAGAACAATTAATACTACAAAAGATGCTCATATTATTATGTTAAGTGTCTATATCAGTGGTCCCCAATCTTTTTGGCACCAGGGACTGGTTTCATGAAAGACAATTTTTCCACGGATGGGGGTGGGGTGATGGTTTCGGGATGATTCAAGCGCATTACATTTATTGTGCACTTAATTTCTGTTATTATTACATTGTAATATATAATTAAATAATTCTACAACTCACTATCAGGCAGAATCAGTGGGAGAATCATGGACTGGAACCAGTCCATGGCCCAGGGGCTGGGGACCCCCTGGTCTATAGTACAATATAACCCTGTGTATAAAATGTGACTTTAACACAGGCCCCAGTCTTTTTGTCTGTAAAATGTATTAATTACATTGTCCTTCCCCTTTTAAGGTTTTCTGCAAGAGTTAAAGAAAATACACCTCATCAATTGCTTAGCAGAATGCTCAACACTAGCAGGACAGCTATAAATGTCAGCTAATCATCCTAGGTAACCACACACACACACACACACACACACACACACACGGAGGGAAGGAGAAGGAAGATTAGGAAGCAACACACAATGTATTAGTAGGCAGTGGGGTTACTAGTGTTTTTTATATACTTTTTTATTTCCCTCTTTATACTGTTTACATTTTCAGTGTTATACAATAAGCATACATTACTTCTGTAATCAGAAGAAGTCAGTATAAACCTCACCTTAATATAATGAAACAAAATTGTTGGCTGGGCGCAGTAACTCACACCTGTAATCCTAGCACTTTGGGAGGCTGAGGCCAGGGGATCGCTTGAACTTAGGAGTTCAAGACCAGGGCAACACAGTGAGACTTCATCTCTACAGAAAATGCAAAACTTAGTCAGGCATGGTGGTGTGCGCCTGTTCTCCCGGCTACTTGAGAGGCTGAGGTGAAGGATGGCCTG
This sequence comes from Homo sapiens, assembly GCF_000001405.40. Classification (NCBI taxonomy): domain Eukaryota; kingdom Metazoa; phylum Chordata; class Mammalia; order Primates; family Hominidae; genus Homo; species Homo sapiens. The sequence goes on from NC_000010.11 coordinate 14,208,116, forward strand.
AGCCCAGTAGATGGAGGTTGTAGTGAGCTATGATCACACTACTGGCCTCCAGCCTGAGCAACAGAGCCAGACCCAGCCTCAAAAGAAACAAACGAAACCAAGCAGAAAACAAAAACCAAAGTTATTGCTTAAATCCTACATGCTGCCTTGAAGCTATTGTAGGCCAGAGTTCTGGATGTAACTGCTGAGGGATAAAGTGTGTTGTTCAGGGTGCCAATGGCCCTGGGCTCCCCCAGGTCTCTGGGGAGGGCTGTCCTCTCTGTCACAGAAAATGTCATTAGCACACTCACCCACTCCCGCCTTACTCATATGCTCTCATGTTATCTACCGCGTGGATGCTGCAGGGGGTGACATCCTAGTTAGTCCCAAGAGCCAGACTGCCCAAAGCTCACTCTAGCGAGCCCTGCCTTGGGGAAGGAGGAGGGGACTCTGCGAACCTCCTACCTGGGCTGAAGGAAGGCCACTCACTCCCCCACCCCTCCCAACCTCAGCTGTCTGTGCTCCTGGTAGGCCACTCACCCCCTGCCTACAGGCTTGGAATGTCAAGGCCATGATGACCTCTGGCCTCCCCTGAACCCAGAGCTTTCCCTTTACAAGGAAGGGGAGACTGAGACCTGGAGCAGGGCTAAGAAAGGCACAGTTTGGGACTCTGGCCTCTTCTCATGCACCTGTATCTGTCCCATGCCTGGTTCCCATTCCCGGATCCTTGGAAGATCCATATTGATGAAACAGTAAAGGGTGATGGGCACTGAAAGGCCGCTAAGTTGCTCCCTGAACTTTTTCCCCTCCCAAACTCTCCTGTGGTCTTCAGTATTTAACAGGAACCTCTTGACACTCTGGAGGGGTGAGCTTCTCATAGGAGGCCCGTGGTAGGGAGGCTGTGGGAGAGGTCAGGCACTGTATACCTTCCCACCATCTGTGAATGGTTCCATTTCCAAGGCCACAGTAAATGCAGGGTTGAAGGATTCCTCCCGGAATCCTTCCTTTTCTCTTCCTCACTTTCCTTGCCTTGTGGCCTCATCACTCCAATATCTCTGCTGCCGTCTTCACATGGCATCCTCCTCTGTGTGTCTCTCCTGACACTTTTCTTCTCCTGACACTTGATAATTTTGTCAAGTTATTTGACAAAATAATTGGATTTCTGGGTGCCTCTATCCACGCTGGCATTTTAACACTCCTGTGGCAGATTGCATAGGCTCCCTCCAAAGATGTCTACCTGGTTCTTGTGAAAGTGCTGATATTTGGAAAAAGAAATCTGTACATGTAGTTAAATCCAGCACCTCAAGATGTGATCATCTTGGATTAGGGTGGGCCATAAATCCAATGACAAGAGTCCTCATAAGGAAAGTGGTGGGCATGGTGGCTCACGCCTGTAATCCCAGCACTTTGAGGTCAGGAGATCAAGACCATCCTGGCTAACATGGTGAAACCCCGTCTCTACTAAAAATACAAAAAATTAGCCGGGCATGGTGGTGGGCACCTATAGTCCCAATTACTCGGGAGGCTGAGGCAGGAGAATGGTGTGAACCCAGGAGGCGGAGCTTGCAGTGAGCTGAGATTGTGCCATTGCACTCCAGCCTGGGCGACAGAGCGAGACTGTCTCAAAAAAAAAAAAAAAAAAATAGCTGGACATGGTGGTGCATGCCTGCAGTCCCAGCTAATCCCAGGAGACTGAGGTGAGAGGACCACTTGAACCCAGGAGGTCGTGGCTGCAGTGAGCTGTGATCATGCCACTGCCCTCCAACCTGGGTGACAGAGTGAGACCCTGTCCCAAAAGAAAAGGCTCAGGAGAGACACACAGAGGAGGAAGCCATGTGAAGATGGAAGCAGAGATTGGAGTGATGAGGCCACAAGGCAAGGAGAGTGACAAAGAGAGAAGGAAGGATTCCAGGAGGAGCCAACCCTGCAGGCATCTCAATTTCATACTTCTGGACTTCAGAAAAGTGAGAGAAGAAATTTCTGTTGTTTGAAGCCACCAAGCTTGTGATACTTTGTGCCAGCCTGCTATAGCCTGAATGATTATATCTCCCCAAAATTATTCCATTGAAATCCTAACTCCCAAAGTGATGGTATTAGGAGATAAGGCCTTTGGGAAGTGATTAGTCCTCTTGTAAAATGGGCCCAAGGGAGGTCTTTTGCCCATTTCACCATGTGAGGATGGAGTGACAAGGTACCATCTATGAACCAGAAAGTGAGACCCAGGCACCAAATCTGCTGGCGCCTTGGTCTTGGACTTCCCAGCCCCAGAACTGGGAGACATTCCTGTTGTTTATAAGCTACTTAGTTTATGGTGTTTTGTTACAGCAGCCCAAACAGACTAACATGCAACAAACTAATATAACCCCTGAATTCCAGAGGTCCTGGAATGAGGTCCCTGAACACATACCCTGCAATACCCTGCCTTCTTATATTTGCTCAAACTCAACCACACAGCATGGACCTTCAGTATCATTTACTGAGCACCTAATATGTGCCAGCCAGGAGTAGGTGCTAAAGACCACAGATGGACAAGTCAGGGTCCTGGCCCCTAAGGAGTCAGTCGTAAGCATCTCCAATAGCCGCACTGTATCATGTGGGCCTTGACTGTGGATTTCCGTCTTTGTTTGTTGTTTGTTTCTTTGTTTGTTTTTGAGATGGAGTCTTGCTCTGTCACCCAGGCTGGAGTGCAGTGACACAGTCTTGGCTCACTGCAACCTCTGTCTCCAGGGTTCATGTGATTCTTCTGCCTCAGCCTACCAAGTAGCTGGGACTACAGGTGCATGCCACCATGTCCTGCTAACTTTTTGTATTTTTAGTAGAGATGGTGTTTCACCGTCTTGACCAGGCTGGTCTCGAAATCCTGACCTTCTGATCTGCCTGCCTTGGCTTCCCAAAGTGCTGGGATTACAGGTGTGAGCCACCGTGCTCAGCCAGATATTCAATTTTTAGGAAGTTTTATCTTATGGGGGAAAGAAAATGAAATTTTTAGTTTAGAAGAACTAGGTTCCTATCCCCCCATCTCACTTCCCTGGTATAACAGTACTAGTCAAATAAATTAATGTATAATGTTTGAGAATATAAACAACATTATTAGCTAATTTTTTTGAGAGCTTACACTGTATTAGCTCTATTCTAAGCATGTCAATCACTTAATCCTCTCAAAAACCCTATGTGGCAGGTACTGTCATAATCCCCAATGAACAGGTAGGAGAAAACCAAAGCTTGGAAAAGTGAGGCTGCTTGCTCAGTGTTCCTGATTCAGTGAGAGGCAGATTCTGGGTTTGAAGTCACGTGGGTCTGGTTTGAGGGCCTAAGCTTTGAATTACTGTGTTCCAAAATAGCTCCTTAAGGCACGCATCACTATTGCATGGACCAGAAGACAGAGGTTCAGGTATTTCTACAGAACTGCTATAGGAATCAAACCGTATCATGCGTGCTATCTGTCAAGAGCCAGTTCCTATTTCTCTTAAATCCCATCCTCCTTTCTCCTGCCATGATAAGATCTTTAGGGTCAAAGATTGTATTCTACTTATCTTGGGTCCTCCTCCAGCTTAGCCTGCTATCCCCATCAGAGCAAATGATAATTGTGTGTCTACCACAGGCCAGGCTGGATCGTGATGTATTTCAACGTTCCAAAGTCCTCGAAGCGTTTGAGGCTGGCAACTAACAGTTAAGTAAGAATCACAAGAATGATTCAAATTAGTGTGAAAACTGTCATGCATTATAGCACATTATAAACCCATTTCCTAATGGAAGTTGCAGAGGGGCTGCCATGAGAGAGATTTAAGTTTGAAGGGCTTAAAAGCCTGATTATCTCTCAGTGATGCCTCAGCACTGGGGAAGTGGCTGCCTGGTGTTTCTCTCTGTGATGGAGACCTGTGTGGTGTAATGAAGCAGCACAGAGCTCTGAGATGATGCCTGGGGTACAGACAGACATCCCCTGTGATCCTTCCAACAGTAAGTCTTTGTTGGGGCTGCAGAAAAAGTGTCCCAGGGTAGCTCCAAATTGCATCTCTTCTCCCAGGGAGAGGAGGTGAGCTGTGCCCTTCTACCCAGCACCACACCCCTCACCTTCCCTATGGGATCCCCACTAACAAGGGGCCACCACCGATATCCAGTGGCACTGAGGACTGCAGGAGCAGCATGGGAGGAGATGCTTTGGGAGAATATGAAGGACAAGAGGTTGCACATCACTAGCCTTTGCCTGCTTAGACCTTTTGTTTCTAGGGAAAGGTGGAACAGCTCCCATTATCCTTTCAGCTTCATCTAAATGACCTCCACCCCACCCCCACCTTGTCAGAGGACAAAGGCGTGGATCAGATGTTTGCTGTGAGCTCCTAGCATCCAGGGATCTCATTTCCCCCTTAATGGAAAAGCAGATCTACTCCCCCGATACCGAATAAAACTCCTTAGTCTCTGTGATGTCCGCTGCCAGCTCAGCTCTCCCACTCTAGATGCTGGATACCATGAAAAAAACGATATACACACAGTAGATCCTTAATGTGCATGAAGATGTCTTGAAACCAGAGTAGGAGACCAGGAGGATGACTGATACTTGTTGTGGGCAATAAGTGAGTTGTTTTTAGGGAAGGGATTTCAAAATTTGGAAACTGTAAGTACCTTAATGCCTTTGGAATGAACTGCTTAGCACCTATGGTGGCTGAGCAGGAGATGCTGGGATGGTTTACTTATGAATGCATTTTTCATGATGGTCCAGGTATATGTTTGCTGTATCTTTTTTCTCTGACCTTAATTCTGCTGCCATGAAGAAGAAAGTGGAGTAGATTTCCCTCAAGGGTGTGAAGCCCTCGGAGAAGTCACTTACGGCAAACCACATGCTGGGTTCAGAAATGTAGGATAGGTCAGATGCAGTGGCTCACGCCTGTAATCCCAGCACTTTGGGAGGCTGAGGCAGGAGGATCTCTTGAGGCCAGGAGTTTGAAACCAGCTGTGGCAACGTAGTGAGATCCCATCTTTACAAAAAATTTGAAAATTAACCAGGTGTCACCACACCTGGTATGTGCTTGGAGTCCCAGCTCCTTAGGAGGCTGAGGCAGGAGGATCACTTGAGCCTGGGAATTGCAGGCTGCAGTGAGCTATGATTGTGCCACCACACTCCAGCCTGAGTGACAGAGAAAGACCCTGTCTCTAAATAAATAAATAAATAAACAAATAAATAAATACAGGGTACATCAGAACCTTCATGGTTGAAATGATGAATATTTATTCCACATGTACTATGGACCAGGTACTCTGGTAATTGCTCTAAAAGCATGATCTTGTTTAATTTTCTCAACAGCCATGTGAGGTAGGTGCTGCTATTATCTTTGAGCTCAGAGAGGGTAAGTAGCTTGTCTGAGGCCACACAGACAGTCATCAGTAAAGCCGGTATTCAAGCTCTGGTCCAGGTTTTAACACCACCAAAGATTCTCAAAGTGACCAGTCCTGATGGGACTAGATCATCCCTCAGGTTGCCCTGGGCTAGGATGGTCTGCACAAACAAAACCATCCCACAGAATAGGAGAGCCAGAGGGAGGTAAAGCATGGCAGCAAGCCAGCCCATCATGTTCTCTGTCTGTATAAATCCCACCCTCAATTGGAGAGTCTCCCCACTAGGGGTGGTGATATGGTTTGGCTGTGTCCCCACCCAAATCTCATCTTGAATTGTAGCTCCCATAATCCCCAAGTGTTGCGGGAGGGACCTGATGGGAAGTAATTGAATCATGGGGGTGGTTTACCCCATAAAGTTCTCATGGTAGTGAATAAGTCTCCTGAGATCTGATGGTTTTATAAGGGGAAACCCCTTTCACTTGGGTTTCGTTCTCTCTTATCTGCCCCCATGTAAGACATGCCTTTCAACTTCTGCCATGCTGTTCTCGTGATAGTAAATAAGTCTCACGAGATCTGATGGTTTTGTAAAGGGCAGTTCCCCTGCACAAGCTCTCTTGGCTGCCGCCATGTAAGATGTGCGTTTGCTCTTCCTTCGCCTTCTGCCATGACTGTGAGGCCTCCCCAGCCATGTGGAACTGTGAGTCCGTTAAACCTCTTTTTCTTTTTTAATGACCTAGTCTCAGGCTTTTCTTCATAGCAGTCTGGAAATGGACTCATACAGGTGGTCCTCAGAGTCCTTGGAAATGACACCTCCTAGAGAAGTACAGAGCCCAGCCTGCAGAACTCTACCTGGAGGCCCTGAACACAGATCTTCAAACCCCAACCCACATCCCATGTCTGGGCAGTCATGCTGCATGAAGTCCCAGGCTGGGAGTTGGCTGACATTGGATCTAGCTTTGACTGTGTCACATACAAGCTGAACGACCTTAGACAAGTAACTCAACCTCTCTGAACCTCAGTTTTCTCTCTGGAAAATAAAAGAGTGAGTTTAAAGTTCTGGCTAGCTCTAATGTCCTATAACCTGTCTCATTTGAACCCAAAATATTTATACCTTAGTACTTAATATACATTATCTTGTACAGCATTTTTATTTCCATAGATCTCTATTTCTACCATATTTTTCTAAAAATTATGTTTTTCTTAGGTAAAACCTCTAGATCCTCAATTAATGCTTAATGAGTTTTGAATGTTTATAGTCCTATTTTCTATAGATAATCTTGTGTTTGATATATTTCCCATGTGCCTAGAAGTCTACCATCATGGCATCTCATGGGTAGAACAAAAATTGTAGCATTCTGTGAAATATAGAAAGGAAGGAAGCCAACTGTGATTTTTAAAAACCTGCTTTGTATTGTGCCTACATATAAACAAAGAACTATCTACATAATAGCCTCCATACTAACGTACACTTTAACATCATAATCTATAGGAATGAATTGCACCAATAAATCTAACAGGCTTGGGCCAAAAAGAAACATTGTTCCAGTTTTTTTGCAACTTATTATTGAGGCTGAATTAGAGCAAGCATGATGAATTGGATCACTTAATGAGATTAAAGATAAAACATATACAGTTTTAAAACACCAACAGTTGGACTATTGACATGGCATGAGAGTAGCCAGTTAAGTTGGGAAAAGGTAGATACCATCAACTAGAGAAGCCATTGTCTACAAAAAGCAATTGTCTTAACGAAAAAGCCGTGGAAAATAAATATATTCCAGTGGCTCCAAAGTTATTTTAAATTCCATGTGTACAGTTCAGCGAAAAACAAGCCAGGCCCTAAAATAATTAAAGCCATCAATATGAACCACTTGAGTTTGAAAGGATCCAATATTTCTCACTCATAAAAAATGAAATAACGTGTGCAATTTGGTTCTTTGCCATCTGCTACTTGAATTGCAAGGTATTGTTAAAAAGTTAATTGAACACCCAAATATAATTATTAGGACTATAGAATGCCTAATCTTTGCCAAATCATTCAAGAATGGCTTCCTTTTTTACTGTAATTTTAAACTTCATAAACTAAAATAACGAAAGTAATTTTATACTTTGCAGGCTCTCCTTCTTAGAGCAAAAGAACATTAAGGAAGTGGGGGGAAAAGCAAATTTAATAAAATTGTGTGTAATGACACAATTCCCCACCGAATACGGTGGCAAGGTGTTCAGCTGTTTCTCCCACTCATTCTGAAAGCTTTTCTTAGAGGTTCTATTTGAGGATCTTGGGGGAAGCCTAGAGAGAATAGTGCCGGCATATGAGCGAAGGTCTACATTAACTAATCAGTCAGTTAACTCACCAAGTTTAACCCAAGAACGAGGAAAGCCTACCGTGAAATTAACTATTTCACACTTTTTAAGAACTTTGTCATGGGAGTCTCAGTTGCTACTGTCCTTACTTCGTAGCTGCCCCTGCATGTCGAAGGGGAAATAATCTTTACTCTCCTGCTCAGGTTCTTTGATTTTCTTCCTGGAAGGAATAAAAAAAAAACCACGTTGTTTTCCTCTTGAAAATCCTGTGAGCTGAGATTGCAATCTCCATGGGGGAAAGAAGTTCCACTACACGTTCTGTAGCGGCACCTAAGGCCATGTTGTGCTGCTTTTGGACGGGAACTCTATGTCTGGGTGTTTGAAACCCCACCAGCTTTGTACAAACTGTGATTATTCCAAAATTCCGTCCCGGGGTCTGAGATTTAGTGAATAAATGTGACTCACCCCATCCTCACTATTCCTAATTAAACTGACTTCCAACCTACTCAAACTCAGTTCCATTTTCTCTCCTCTGTTTCTAAGCACCCCGACATTTTAGGACTCCTTGGTTTCTTTGCATCTTCAAGGTAAATTAACAGGAATCACGTTTGCACTTCCAATAGGTACAGGAACTGTATTTGCTCAAAAGTGGAAGAGAAGGCTGGGCGCAATGACTCATGCCTGTAATCTCAATTCTTTGGGAGTCTGAGGAGGGTGCATCACTTGAGCTCAGGAGTTCAAGACCAGCCTGACCAACATGGTGAAACCCCATCTCTAAAAATAAAGAAAATTTTAAAAATGTTCTAAAAAGTAGAAGAGATTTGATTTTGTCTGATTTTGTCTGAAATATCCTTGGTCACTGGAAGAGGCTATGTTTTCAAAAGAGGATGCAAATTGCCAGTCTTGTCGCAGCCACCCGTTCGCCAGCAAGTCCTTCTCCTTGATTTTCAGATTCCCAAGACAGGAACCAAATCGTTAAACTCTTTGTCTCCAGAACCTCTCTTTGTTTTTCTCCTTTTCCCTGCTTCCCATGCTCCCTCTAGTTTTCTGATGTATATTTCATAAGTGTCTATCATATGCCTGAAACATGGCTGTGTAGGCAAGGAGGGTCTCCACCAGGATAATGATCCTTCATTTCTACTCTCTTCTTTTGCATTCTGTATCTAGACGCTTCCCAATTCCATAATAATTCAGTTTGTTTAACTTAGTCCGAAATGCAGTTGAGGATTTTCCTAAATATTATACACACTGATCCCAAGGACAAGGGAACATGCTGGGAAGTCCTCCTGACAGCCGGTCACCGAACAGGGGGGCATGGCCTCCATGGGACTGACTCAAGATCACCTTCACTTCTCTGTCACTATACTTGATTCAGTTATCCTTTTAGTTTAAACATTTTACTATACAGAATGTTTCCAAATAAATATGCACCTTGACCCAGAGAGAATTTTAAAAGGTGTCAAATAAAATTGTCCCAAACATCAATCCCTAGGGAGCCCATGATTTCTACTTTGGACCACTGAAATGGTTTGGCCATGTCCCCACCCAAATCTCATCTTGAATTGTAGCTCCCATAATTCCCACATGTTGTGGGAGGGACCCAGTGGGAGATCACTGAATCATGGGGGCGGTTTCCCCCATAATGTTTTCATGGTGGTGAATAAGTCACAGGAGATGTGATGGGAGATGTGATGGTTTGATAAGGGGAAACCCCTTTCGTCTGGGTTCCACTCTCTCTTGTCTGCTGCCATGAAAGATGTACCTTTCACCTTCTGCCATGATTGTCAGGCCTCCCCAGCGATGTGGAACTGTGAGTCCACTAAACCTCTTTTTCTTTATAAATTGCCCAGTCCTGGTTATGTCTCTATCAGCAGCATGAAAACAGAAGAATTCAACCACCCACCAGGGTCATGAGGTGGTGGCCTAGTCAAAGGGCATCAGGGCTGAAATCCAGCTGGCTCTCTGCAACCTAGGCGCTGGCTCCCAGACAGGTCTCTGTCCACTTATAGAGAAGGCCACCTTTTGAAAATTCTCACGCAGGTGCTGTGTAGGCTGGCAGGGTCTCCACCAAGATAGTGATCATTTATTTTTACTCTCTCTCTCTTTTTTTTTTTGCTTTGAGACAGAGTCTCACTCTGTCATCCAGGATGGAGTGCAGTGGCACTATCTCAGCTCACTGCCACCTTCACCTCCTGGGTTCAAGTGATCCTCCTGCCTCAGCCTCCTAAGTAGCTGGGATTACAGGCGTTCACCACCACACCTGGCTAGTTTTTGTATTTTTAGTAGAGATGGGTTTCATCATGTTGGCCAGGCTGGTCTCAAACTCCTGACTTCAACTGATCCACCCGCCTGGGCCTCCCAAAGTGCTGGGATTATAGGCATGAGCCATGGTGCCCAGCTTATTTCTACTCTGCTTTTTTTGCAATCTATATCCAGACACTTCCCAATTCTATCATGATTCTGTTTGTTTAAATTGGTATGAAATGCAATTGAAGATTTTCCTGAAGATTATACACAATGATCCCCTTCTTACCCATATGCCCATTCACACCAGCAGAGAAGGTAACTGAGGAATTTGACTAACTTCTTCTTTCATCCAGTGGGCATAGTTGTTTAAATGTTCATTCTCTGCCACAGATTAGAACTCAAAACAGCTGAGGTATCATCCTTTGGATTAACCCACTAGCTTTCAGTCATAGTTACATAAAAATCATCATAATCCCTTACATTTGTATAAGATTTTATGGTTTATGAAGTTCTTTGTATTTACAATCTCATGTCATCTCATGTGATTCGCTTACATTGCGGGAAGTCACAGGGCTGGATTAAGGTGTGTCTTAGTGGCTGGGCACGGTGTCTCACGCCTGTAATCCCGGTACTTTGGGAGGCCCAGGTGCGGGGATTGCCTGAGGTCAGGAGTTCAAGACCAGGTCCCTCCCACATGTGGGAATTATGGGAGCTACAAGATGAGATTTGGGTGGGGACACAGAGCTAAACCATATCATTCTGTCTCTGGCCCCTCCCAAATGAGCCTGGCCAACATGGTGAAACTCTATCTCTACTAAAAATACAAAAATTAGCCGGGTGTGGTGGTGGGCACCTGTAATCCCAGCTATTTGGGAGGCTGAGGCAGGAGGATCACTTGAACCCAGGAGCCAGAGGTTGCAGTGAGCCGAGATTGCACCACTGCACTCCAGCCTGGGCAACAAGAGTGAGACTTCATCTCAAAAAAAAAAAAAAAAAAAAAAAAAAAAAAAAAAAAAAAAGATGTGTTTTAGCTATACACTTGGTAATCATAGTAAGAAGGGGATAAGAGGAGGGGCTAGGAACATAGGAAGTAAGAGGAAGGCAAGGGAGAGGGATACCTGTGAGAAAGCCAGATACACAAGGCTCAATTAGTTTGACAAAGAGAGATGGAAACACAACAACAAAGACATCTCAAAAGCCAGTGTTTCCAGTTTGTTTTGCACTGTCCAAGCACTAGGGTAGGTTCCCTTTGTGACCACAGGCATCTTGAGTCTCAGGATCCCTGTCTTAAGGGGCAACCATTCTTCTGTGTTGGAGGACACCCATTCTGTCCCCTCTGCCCGATGCTTTTAATAAGGACCTAGGTATCCTGGAACCTATGTCAGGACTGACAAGTGAAATTAGGTAATCCACAACCTCCCACAAATATTCTCTGAGCACCTACTTTGTGCCAGCGCATTCTGATGCCATCAGAAATTTGCAAAGTAATATAACTCTTCCTATTCACAAATGAGGGACCCGTGCTTGGAGATGGTCAGGCAGCTCTCTGAGGTCATGGTACAAGGTGGAAGCTGACCTCAAATTCCATCATGTCTGATGCTGCAAACCTTTGCTTTTTCTACTGAGTCACAGTGCTCGGTGTGATCCTGACTGTTCCCAAGAACTGTTTTGTTTTTCAAGACATGAGAGTACACAGAGACAGCTAAGCCCCATGTAACACCTTCAGAGAAGGGACTGGGGAACTTCAGAAGTGCCCAGGGCAAGCTGGGAGGCTGCCTGTGTGCATCCTCAGTCCAGACTCATTTAGGGAACATAGTCTGCCGGCGGGGAGGAGAAATGATGTTTTTGGTCAAGACTTGAATTTTTTCAGATGTTTAATCACAAGCGATGCTAGTCCTGCCTGAAACCCTGAACTACTTGCTATTGAGAGTGATGAAAGTACATTTCCCCCTAATTCAAGATAAGAGAGAAGGGTGGAGATTTCTAGAATGTATGTTTCCCTATCTATTGCGAATGGTGTCTAGAGCCTATCTGTGAAGTGACGAAGCAGTTTTCATGCCAGGGTGTCTACTGTCCATGACGACCATGTGGTCCTGACAATCCCGGGTCTGGGTTGTCCTCTGCTGTCATCCCAGAACTTACGTTCTAGTGATTAGCATCCATTTGCCCTTGCCCTTCTAAATGACGAAACTGTTCAGCACTGATGAACTGCAACATATCATCGTACTCAAAGGGGCTCCCACACACCAAGTCAGTGGTCAGTGTGAGTCACCTCCACCAAGTCAAGCCTCAAAGTGCCTTGTTTATATGGCCCCACTTCGGGAAACAGCTCTGGCTTTATTTGGTGGCAATATGACTAATTTGTCATGCTCATTCAAAGATAAAATTGGCCGTCAACATAAACTCCTTTAAGCACTTTGTGGTAAAAGCAGGTGAGTTTGACTTTTAGGGAGGTGATGTTCCCCATTAGTCAATCCCCTCCATGCCCCAAAGGGGGTGCCAGGATGACCCCATCTCTATCCCCCGCCTTGAGGCCAATAATTGAATTTTTTGTATGTGGGTTCTCCTACATGAAATTCTTCACATTGCCATACTGTCTGAAATCCCACCGATTAGAGGAAATTCACTTATCTTGAAAGCTTTCTGATTCTGCAGTAAATGACTCTTAAATTCGCTGACCTCAGTGCAGCAGTGGGAGTGTCAGAGACCAGAGTCATTCAATAGAGGACCAGCAGAGGAGGGGTGCCTCCATGGAGGCTTGGCAGCCCTGGCATACAAGAGGCAACCAGAGGAGTTGGCTGAGTTGCGTGTGTGTGTGTGTGTGTGTGTGTGTGTTTGTGTGTGTGTGTGTGTGTGTGTGTGTTTACTGGGGGCTCCCAGAGCTCAGAGGCAGGTGGTATCAGGGACCAGGAACTCTACTGTATTGATTGGACTGAAGAGCAGAACCCTACCATATTGGCTGGATTGAGGAGCAGGAACCTGACTATTTAGGCTGGACTGAGGGGCAGGAACCCTACCATAATAGTCTGGATTGAGGAGCAGGAACCCTGCTGTATTGGCTGGATTGAGGAGCAGAGAGATTGAGGAAAGACTTCCTGAATAAACATGGAGAACATGCAGCGAATGGTGGCAAGACTTGGGAAGAGGAGAATCAAGGTGCAAACTCAGGTTCCTCCTTGATGGGGCAAAGCAGAAGCAAGATGATCTGATGCTGCAGGGGGCTGCCCTACTGCCCTGAGGCCCCTTAACTTTTCTTACCTGGATCAGCACAGTTGTGAGAGCTTAGCTGGAGGCTGGCTGTCCATAGGTCAGGGATAACTGCTCCATCTGTGGAGGGTAGAGAGGCTTTGGGGAAGGGAGCCAAGGGGAGAGCATTGGTGGAGATGTGGCCTAATTTCATAGCCTGGAGAATCAAGAAAATTCAGCTCAGGAGTTATACCAAATACAGGCTCTTTTATCCTAGTGTGTTAGGGCCAACCCTGAATGGCGTGATCTGGAGAGGGGAATTGCAACATTTTGTCTTTTTCAAAACCAAATTGGTTTGCTTTAGCCCTAACATCATTACTTTTAACCTTAGGGAGAAGTCTGACTATATCTGTACTTCTTAATCTCTTGCTCTGTTGCCCAGGCTGGAGTACAGTGGTGTGATCATGGCTAACTCCAGCCTCCAACTCCTGGGCTCAAGTGATCCTCCCGCCTCTGCCTCCCAAGTAGCTGGAACTACAGGTACACAGTACCACGCCGGGTAATTTTTTTTTTTTAGAGATGGGGTCTCACTATGTTGCCCAGGCTGATCTCAAGCTCCTGGACTTAAGCAGTCCTCCTGCCTCACCCTCCCAAAGTGCTGGGGTTACAGATGTGAGTCACAATGCGCCGCCAGTGATTTTGTTTCTGAACCTGTCTGTGTTATTGGAGGGTCTGCAGTTGAAGATTGGGTAGTGAGGCCCCAGTTTGTTTTTCTAGATAACAGGCTTAAAAATGATTGCTGCTTCTCAGGAAGGTAGGTAATTACTTCTTGTAGGTTTTGCGGTCTCTGTCTTTTTAAAGGGAGAAAATGATTGTTCATTTGCCCACTACCACGTACATGCCATATGTGTCCAATGTCTCAATTTTAGTTCATCAGCGAAGTATGAAATTATTTTAAAATGGCATATCTTTCGATATTCAAATGAGACTCAATCTGGCATGGAAAAATACAGGATGTTAATTATTCTTTGTGCATATAAATCAGCTGTGAAATCACTTGAAACTCCTGTATGTTTGGGTTCTTTGTCGACAGGGCCGAATAATTATCAACAAACCTCAGTGAGCCTTGCTTAGCAAAAGGTCTCATTATTCAACGTGAGTGTAGCTTTGAACGTGGAAGTAGAGGTGCTCTCTAGCGTGCGAAATGCGTAGCCAAGCTTGGCCCCTGCTGAGCGTACCTGGAGAAGGTAAGTGATGTCTATCCAGTTGCCCAATCATCAGAATCATCTTTGGAGAGCAGAAGATGTGAGAAACTTGACTTGATTAGAGTGAGAGAGAGAGAGAAATAGAGAAACCAGGCCATCTGTAACAGCAGATATTCTAAATCAAGAGTAGGAACAGATACTTAGAAATTAGAAGCTACTTCTTACAAATGATATTCAAATGTGATTCCCATCATATATGACCCCGTCCCACTCAAATTGTGTTTCTCTCCATCCCTCTCCCTCCCCACTGCAGAATCAGGCCATGGTATTGAGTAGAAGAGGACTGGAGTGAAATCTCCTTGGAAAAAAAAACATTGTTTATTGTTGATTTCAAGTGGCACTGTGGCTTTGGTGATTGCAACAGGCTCTGTAGGCCAGGTGCGGTGCCTCATGCCTGTAATCCCAGCACTTTAGGAGGTTCACCTGAAGGCAGGCAGATCACCTGAGCTCAGGAGTTCCAGACCAGCCTAGCCAACATGGTGAAACCCTATCTTTACTAAAAATACAAAAATTAGCCTGGCATAGTGGCTCATGCCTATAATCCCAGCTACTCTGGAGACTGAGGCATGAAAATTGCTTGAACCTGGGAGTCAGAGTTGCAGTGCGCTGAGATTGCACCACTGCACTCCAGCCTGGGCAACAGAGTGAGTTGAGATTCTGTCTCAAAAACAACAACAACAATAACAACAACAACAAAACACCAGTGACAGCCACTGGCCTAGTGATTCTCACCTCCCCTGAGATGCAGACTTCTAGGGTCCACATCTCCGGATGGAGCAGGCACAACTGCTAGGCAAAGTCATCATGGTGCCTCTCCCCAGAACCACCTTTTCTCCATTGGGACCAGGAATGCCTGTTCCCTCACTGTGTGAGCAAGGAGAAAATTCTTCCTTTCTTCCCCCATATCTGGAGTGGAGGTCAAATCCAGGCTTATCTCTTGGAAGAGCTGCTCTCTAGAAGGCAACAGACTACACTGCCGTTGGCTCCCCTGCATTTTCTTTGGAGTTCTTGGCTCAAAAAGAGCCAAATAGGGGCTGGGTATGGTGACTCATACCTGTAATCCCAGCACTTTTGGAGGTCAAGGCAGGAGGATCACTTGAGCCAAGAGTTTGAGACCAGCCTGGACAACATAGGGAAACCCTGTCTCTACAAAATATCAAAAAATTAGCCAGGCATGGAGGCACACAACTGCAGTCCCAGCTGCTCGGGAGGCTGAGGTGAGAGGATCATTTCTGGCTGGGAGGTTGAGGCTGCAGTGAGCTATGATTGCACTACTGCAATCCAGCCTGGGTGACAGAGCAAGACCATGTCTCAAAATGAAAAAAAAAAAAAAAAAAGAGAGAGAGAGAGAGAGAAAGAGAGAATAAAGCCAAATGCAACATATGGCTAAAAGAAGATATTCTAGCAACCCCACATCTCCCTGTCGTTGGACTCCCCTCTGCAACCCATGGGCACCTGTGGGATAGATACTCCATTTCTCTACCCTCATTAACTCTTTCCTGCTAAGCAACAAACTGAAAAGATTTTCGGGGACCCTTCTCTAATATGGATCATCTGCATCGGGAGTTTGCCCTGCATTCCCTCAAATCACTTCCTTTGAAAAGGGACATACATTGTCCATTGCTCTGCTCAGGCGAGGAGTCCTGTGGCTCTCACAAACAGGACGGGGCTGCTTTGCCCCATCTGATGGAAAGAACTAGCTCCTCTTTCAAATCCGTGCCTCTTCTCTGCCAAAAGAAAAAAAAAGTGTGCAGAAAGCCAGCTCCATAAAAATAGCCCGGTTTCTGAGGAATGTCTCAAAGAATCAAGGTCCTCATTTCTAAAAGTGTTGCAGACACCTGCAGCTCTGCCTCTGTGCTCCAAGATGTCTCTGCTTTCTCTGCCATCCTTGTTCTTCTGCAGCACTTTGTAGCTTTCCTAGAACACTTGCCACAGTGACCTGCATATGTGTCCACCTCCCCATCAAAGGAGGGCCCTGTGAGAGCATAGCTGTGGTTTAGTTGACTTTGTCTTTCTTCCCTCATTTCCACTCCTACTCATACTGGGCAGAAAGACTTTGGTCCCAGCCAATTAAAAGGCCAGTTAATCTATTTACCAGGGAAGCATTTTGGACAGTCAAAATTGTTTGCACTTTGATTAAATTTTGATTTTTTTTTTCTGTGAAGAGTTTCAAAGTATTAGCATCTGGCAAGTCAGCCTACGTGGATAAAATTTCAACTGTTCAGGGCCCCACCTAGATTCCAGTCCCAAAGCAGCAAAAGATAAGAGAAGGAAGCTTAAAAGAGTCTCTCATTTATCTCCTTGGAGCGTATGAATTTTGATGACAGACTATGTTAAGAGGAGAGAATTGACTAATTTCATTTCACTGGCCTGAAGCTATGGGGAGACAGGCCTCAAGTTTTGTCAACTTTTTTTGTAAGTCTAACTTGCAACTGATGTAGAGCAGGTCCAGAGGAAGCCGTTATTGACCTACTTAATAAGGTAGAAAGAAAATATCCAAGAGGGCTCAAAGAAATACAATGGCAAATCTTCAATAAATGTGCTCTGCCCCCTCTCATCATGATGTACAACATCTGAACTCTAAAAATCCCTAAAAATGCAAGTGTCCCCCATAGTAACAGAGTCACCTGACTGCAAATAAGCTTGACATTCTTATTAGAATTAGCAGGAACAGTGAAAGAATAAATATACACCAGGTGGCGGTAAGTTAATAATATTTTACAAATTAACATAAAACATTGCTGAAAAACATTTAGCCTAAAATCGTCACTACTAAAATCATCATTTTGAACATATTAAATTTATAAAATGTAAATGAGAAGTATGGTGAAACCTCATCCCCAACCCTCAATCCCAACCCCGTAGCCAAGAATGTGGAAATGAAGGAAGAAAAGCTTTCAAATCAACACCTAATGGATTAAAGCAGAGAGACACCAAACTGCTTCAAAGAAGGCAAGAGGTCCTAGGGTAGCAAGAAAAGTCTTCAATCTGATCGAAGAGATTAATATTCCCAAGGGAAACCGTGCCTTCATTTGCATGAAGTGGGTCATCTATGGAAACACAGTGAAAATAACAAAAGGAAATTCTTTTAGATGAGATTTGGCCCGGCTTCCATGCACTGTCCAGGGCAGAGGGCAGCCAGCTGACAGCTGATGGGACAGAGGGATGTACAGTCTGCTTGGCAATCCCCTCCCGATTGTGAGGAACACATCAGGCTATTGCAGCCTGATCTCATTACAAATTCACACCATTAACCCCCTTGTTCTGATTGCATGTGCACCAAACAACCTTCTGATGATTTGCTTCCCTCTGTAGCTCTTCTGTAAGTGATAGAAGAAGCTGGTTAGACAGACATGTGTATCTGTTCTACCTGCCAGTTCGATTTCTCCTGATACATGAATAAACTGGCGTTTGGGTTCTAGATATTGTTGCTCAGAAGTTTTGTATGAGTCAGAATCTCCCAGTGTGTTCTAGGGCCATCTCAAAGGGGTCATTTCTTGGCCAAAGCTGACCTCTGGGTGGCCAGATATTCTACTGATAAGGAGCTGGTCTTGCTAGTTCCTACAAGTAAATATTCTAAAGCAATGTGTAACAGAGCCTTTTTCATCTATTTGAGATTTGAAGTAAGTGTCCAACATCAAAGTTACAGTAACGTTCTCTCTCAGGTCACCTCCCTGCATGTTTTTTTTAAATTTTAAAAAATTTTACTTTAAGTTCTTGATACATATGCAGGTTTATTATGTAGGTGCACATGTGCCATGGTGGTTTGCTGCACCTGTCAACTCATCATCTAGGTTTTAAGCCCCGCATGTTTTCCCTGGGTGTGAGTTATGTGCAGAGGACTCCTCAGTAACTCCATGCCCAGCTCTGTCTCCCAAGCCTGGACCATTCAACAGCTCACTGTACCTCTCTCCTTGGAGATCACGCAGACACCCAAAGTTGACATGTTAAAAATTGTGTTATCATCGTATACATCAGTGTGTTTCAGCTATTTTGTGCCTGTTCCAGAGACCAGGTTGCTTAAACTATAGAAATGTACAGTCTCACAGTTCTGGAAGCAAGAAATGCAAAAGCAAGGTTTTGGTAGGGTTGGTTCCTTCCGGGCGCCATACTGGAAGGATCCCTTATAGGCCTCTCTTCTGGGCTGGTAGATGGCCATCTTCTCCCTGTGTCTTTACATCTTCCCATGGTCCATGTCTGTGTCCAAACTTGCCCGTGTTCTAAGGGCATGGCGGGTTAGGACTCCAACATATAAATGTGAGGAGAACACAGTTCAACCCAAAGCACCATCCTTCATTCGTCACCTCATCAAATCCATGGAACTGCCTGCAAGGCTCCACCTCACGAGGGTCTCTCGGTCACTATCACTGCCCTCTGTTGGCGTTCATCATTCCTTCTTGCCTGTCTCCTGGTCCGCTTTACTGCCCTCCTGCTCCCCGCTGCCTTCCAAGACCCCAATCGACTCTTCACACCTAGACTGGGAGGTCTTTCTTTAAAACACCTGACATTGCCCTTAAAGTACTTCAACGGAGCCCAATGACCCTCCTATAAAGTCAAAATTCCTTGTCACAGTTCCTCAGGCCTGCCACGATCTAGTGCCCACACACCCAGCCTCATGGCTGACCACTCCCCACGAGGGCTGCACATGCCCGCAAGATGGATCTACTTCCAATTCCCTGAAGGTGCCAAGCTTTCCTCTTGCACCCAGGCACTTGGGCATGCTCTTCCCTCAGCCTGGAGCACTCTGGTTCAGGTTCATCTCTTTAGTCGTCTTCTTTCTTCTTTCCCCTTCCTCCTCCTCCTTCTCTTCTTCTTCTTTTTTTTTTTTTTTTTTTTTTTTTTTAGGCAGAGTCTCACTCTGTCACCCAGGCTGGAGTGCAGTGGCACAATCTCGGCTCACTGCAATCCCCACCTCCTGGGTTCAAGCGATTCTCCTGCCTCAGCATCCTGAGTAGCTGAGATTACAGACATGTACCACTAACCCCGGCTAATTTTTGTATTTTTAGTAGAGATGAGGTTTCGCCATGTTGGCTGGGCTGGTCTTGAACCCCTGACCTCAAGTGATCCACCCACCTCGGCCTCCCAAAGTGCTGGGATTACAGATGTGAGCCAGGGTGCCCAGCCCTCTCTTTAGTGTTCTAGCCTCCCCATTCCTATGCTCTCAGCTTGAGCGTCACTTACACCAAGCCTGCATGAGGTGTCCTCTTTTTGTTTTCTCATAATCTCCTTTCTTTTACTCATAAAATACTGAAATACCCAATTTCTGCATCCACATTCTTCACTAGACTGGAAGCTCTAGGATGCATGAGATGCTATTGGTCACACAGTCGCATCTCTAGACCCCAGAACAGGTTCCTGGCTCATAGTAGGTGTTGACCAGCATTGCTAAGAATTTGTTGAAAATGATAACTTTGTGACTATTTTGCTTTCTAACAAAGTTTTCTGGCCAGAATTTTTTTTTTCTTTTAACGGAGTCTTGCTCTGTCACCAGGCTGGAGTGCAGTGGTGCGATCTTGGCTCACTGCAACTTCCGCCTCCCTGGTTCAAGCAATTCTCCTGCCCCAGCCTCCCAAGGAGCTGCGACTACAGGTGCGTGCCACTATGCTCAGCTAATTTTGATATTTTTAGTAGAGACAGGGTTTCACCATGTTGGCCAGGATGGTCTCGATCTCTTGACCTCATGACCCACCTGTTTCAGCCTCCTAAAGTGCTGGGATTACAGGTGTGAGCCACCGCACCCAGCATAGAAGTTTTAATCAAATCATTTTAGATTCAAATGTTGATAGTTGGAAGACTTCTGTCATTATTCTTGTTGCAAAACTCACACCCAGGAATTCAAATCCAATTTATATCCTCACAGAGCATATACAATGACGATATATTCACAAAAATACAGTGACCATATGTCCCCACTTGATTGGGACCATCCAGCTTAAGTTTATTGTTTGAGCTTAATTATTAATAATGTTCCCATTGACTCTCCTAAGGGCTCTGGCTTGGGTGATTAATTACCTACTCATAAGCCAATTTACAAATGTTTAATTTTGTAGGTGAAAATAGTGTTTTGCTAACCCTGTTTTATTTGAAGAAAGCAAAAAGTTATTGTCCAAAATGCAGAATGAAGTTTATTTGAGAAAATCTTGTTTAGTTAGAAACAAGAGGGTGATATAGCCAGGGTTTGTAAGAGGCAGACTTTTAACCTGCAGCAAAAGTGAAACAACGAATTTGAGTCAACTTGCAACCAACCCAACAGGAGATTCACGCATCTGGAGTAATTGAGTTAAAGCAGATTAGGTTCTGGATTAATACACATCACTAATTTCTATTTGTTTGCTTTTTTTTTTTAGTAATTGAAAAATACATGCAATTAATTTCTGACATGAAGAAAAATTACAATTAATCCCTCACTGTTCAAAAGCAGAATTCTAGGAGTTAGGTCAGTTGTCTAGAACTTCTGGATCAGATGATCCAAGGTTGCTTTGTTATTTAGTTTAAAGCACTGAGTATTCCCACAATAGCTGTTTAAGCACGGTGTGACAGTAGCATTAAAATATGCCCCACGGTCTAACACGAGCCCTGCTGGAATGACCTGTTCATGTGGACTTTTCTTATCTTTGCTCCCCTTCAGCAGTGCTAATGTTGGAGAAATGTTTTTTCTTGTTTTTTTTTTGTTTGTTTTTTGTTTTTTTTTAAGATGCTAAAACCAGGCCTTTTGAATGGTGGGAGGGGAAGAGACCCTGAACTCATTTCCAGGATAAGACAACTTTCTCATTTGACTAGTTCAATTTTTTTAAAAACCTACTTAAGAAAATATATTCTAATAGAGGTAATAAAATAAAGCATTGACCACATAAGCATTGACCTAGGATTTAAACACATTATTTAAAACCAAGTTGGTTGCATGGGTGGATATGTGGGTTGCACATATCCTATCATTTAAACTTGTGCTACTCAAAATATTACATTTCTTTAAGTAGCCCCACTTTTGAAACTAAAAGCAGCTATGGAAATACGTCAACCAGAGAAACTTATGTACTCTTACAAAATAAATTATGTACTCTTATGATTTGAGCAATTGTAGCTCACTGCAGCCTCGACCTCCCATGCTCAGGAGATCCTCCCACTGCAGCCTCCCGAGTAGCTGGGACTACAGGTGTGCACCACAATGCTTGGCTAATTTTTAAAAAAAGATGTAGAGACAGAGTCTCAGTAAGTTGCCCAGGCTGGTCTTGAACTCGCGGGCACAAGCCGTCCTCCCACCTCAGCCTCTCAAAATGTTGGGATTACAGGTGCGAGCTACTGAACCCGACAACCCACACACACATTTTTATTTTAAAAAGCAAGCCATTTAACATCAACACATCCTATATAAAATATAAAACTAAAATTCTGACTCCCTAGAGCTATCACATTGTAACAAAGCTGAACACTCATACAATCTAGCTATCCTGTCCTCTCTACATGGGGTCATTCTGCCCCAAATCAAAACATGAATTGTCCTATGAACTATAAAAGTTGAGTTCATGCCCTTTGAGAATTGGTGGAAAATCCAATTTGCTTCTCTCCATCTCTGTCTATAGAGGAAGGCTGATCTAATTGTGAGAGAGGTTTTCAGAGCTCAACTGCACAGGGAGCTTCTTATAAATAGTTACTACCCATCTTTCTAATGACAGCCATGTATACACATTTCTGAATAAAACACAAGCAACGGTGCACACCTCTCCTTTACAGTCCATAGAAGTTCACCACAGTTGCTCATTTCCCAAATCAGAAATGTGGGGCCCTCTCCCCCCTAGCATCTTGGGACAAAAACACCAAATTTAGGTACCATTTTGCCAGTTGTTGTTGTCACTGAAGAATGGTTAAGAACGTGGAATCTGGTTCCTGTAGACCTGGGTTTGAGGTTCAACTCCATTAAGTACAAATGCGTGTCCTGTGCAAATTTCTTTAGCTATTCTAGGGTTCACTTTGCCTGTTTTTGAAATAGGAATAAAAATAGTCTCTAAATCACAAAATGATTGTGAGGATTATGAAGACCATGCGCATAAAGATCTTGGCCCCTGGTAGATGCTCAGCCCATATTAGTTATCATTATTGTCATTTGTTTTGGCTGTGGCTGTACGATTGCTACTCACAGGAGCTATCATTGGTACTCTTAATTCCTGACGAGAATTTTTAAAATTTTTTATTGTGATTTTTTTCTTTCCAACTTTTACTGTAGGTTCAGGAGATACTTTTGCAGGTTTCTTACACGGGGAATTTGCATGTTGTTTGGGTTTGGAGTACAGACTATTTTGTCACCCAGGTAATGAACACAGTATCCGATAGGTAGCTTTTCCGTTGTCACCCTCCTTCCACCTTCCACCTTCAAGCAGGCGCTGGTGTCTGTTGTTCCCTTCCTTGTGACCATGCTTGTTCAATGTTTGACTTCCCTTTATAAGTGAGAACATGTGGTATTTGATTTTTCTGTTTCTGTTTTAGTTCACTTAGGATAATGGCCTCCAGCTGCATCCATGTTGCTGCAAAGAACGTGATTTTGTTCTTTTTTATGGCTACATAGTATTCCATGGTGTATATGTACCATGTTTCTTTATCCAGATGGGCACTAAGGTTGATTTCATGTCTTTGCTATTGTGAAGGGTGCTTCAATGAACATATGAGTGCCTGTGTCTTTAGGGTAGAATGATTTATATTCCTTTGGATGTATATCCAGTAATAGGATTGCTGGGTCAAATGGTAGTTCTGTTTTAAGTTCTTTGAGAAATCGCCAAACTCCTTTCCATTGTTGCTGAACTAATTTACATTCCCACCAACAGTGCATGAGTGTTCCCTTTTTGCTGCAGCCTCACCATCATCTGTTGTTTTTTGACTTTTTCATAATAGCTATTCTGACTGGTATGAGATGATATCTCATTGTGGTTTTTTTTTTTTTTGAGACGGAGTCTTGCTCTGTCACCCAGGCTGGAGTGCAGTGGCATGACCTCGGCTCACTGAAAGCTCCACCTCCCGGGTTCACACCCTTCTCCTGTCTCAGCTTCCTGAGTAGCTGGGACTACAGGCACTCACCACCACGCCCGGCTAATTTTTGTTGTGTGTTTTTAGTAGAGACGAGGTTTCACCGTGTTAGCCAGGATGGTCTCGATCTCCTGACCTTTTGATCCGCCCATCTTGGCCTCCCAAAGTGCTGGGATTACAGGCGTGAGCCACTGTGCCCGGCCTCTCATTGTGGTTTTGACTTGCATTTCTCTATTAGTGATGTTGAGCATTTTTTCTTATGTGTGTTGGCCACGAGCATGTCTTCTTTTAAGAAGTGTTTGTTTATGTTTTTTGCTCATTTTTAAGGGGGTGGGTTGTGTCTTGCTTGTTGATTTCTTTACATTTCTTATAGATGCTCGATATTAGACCTTTGTCAGATGCATAGTTTGCAAATATTTTCTCCCCATTCTTTAGGTTGTCTGTTTACTCTGTTGATAGTTTCTTTTTCTGTGCAGAAGCTCTTCAGTTTAATCAGGTCCCACTTGTCAATTTTGTTTTCATGGTAATTGCTTTTAGAGTCTTTGTCATGAAATCTTTGCCAGGGCTGATGTCCTGAATGGTACTTCCTGGGTTTTCTTCTATGATTTTTTTAGCTTTAGGTTTTACTTTTAAGTCTTTAATCTATCTTGAGTTGATTTTTGTATATGGAGAAAGGAAGGGGTCCAGTTTCAATCTTCTGCATATGGCTAGCCAGTTATCCCAGCACCCATTATTGAATAGGGAATCCTTTTCCCATTTTTTGTTATCGTTGGCTTTGTCAAAGATTGGATGGTTGTACATTTGCAGCTTTTTTTCTTGGTTCTGTATCCTGTTCCATTGGTCTGTTTGTTTGTTTTTGTCCCAGTACCCTGCTGTTTTGGTAACTGTAGCCCTTCAGTATAGTTTGAAGTTGGGTAATGTGATGCCTCTAGCTTTGTGCCTTTTGCTTATAATTGCTTTTGCTATTTGGGCTCCTTTTTGGTTCCATATGAATTTTAGAATAGTTTTTTCTAATTCTGTGAAGAATGTCATTTATAGTTTGATAAAAATAGCTGCTGAATCTAGAAATTGCTTTGGGTAGTATGGACAGGTATTGATTCTTCCTATCCATGAGTATGGAATGTTTTTCCATTTGTTTGTGTCATCTCTGATTTCTTCAGCAGTGTTGTGTAATTCTCATTGTAGAGATCTTTCAGCCTCCCTGGTTAGCTGTATTGCTAGATTTTTTATTCTTTTATTGCAATTGTGAATGGGATTGTGTTCTTGACTTGGCTCTGAGCTTGGATGTTATTGGTGTATAGAAATGCTACTAATTTGTGTACCCAGATTTTGAATCCTGAAACTTTGCTGAAGTTGGTTATCAGATCTAAAAGCCTTTGGGCAGAGACTTTAGGGTTTTCTAGGTAGAGAATCAAATCACCTGCAAAGAGAGATAGTTTGGCTTCCTCTCTTCCTATTTGGTCTTTTATTTCGTAGTCTTGCCTGATTACTCTGGCTAGGTCTTCCAATAATTTTAGTTCTACAGATAGAGTTGTAGAGTAGGAAAAAAAAATACAGACTTTTTGAGACAGGTATTTCAACCCAGTGTGACACATAGTAGTTGCATGTCTCTCTGGCATTTTCTTAATCCTCTGAGACTCAGTTTCCTTATCTGTAAGATGGGAATAATGTCAACAGGATTATTGTGAATGCATATGAAAGTACCTGACACAGTGTAAGCAGTCATTAAATGGTTACTCTTAATATGATATAATTAGTTATTCTACCTCCATTGGAGAGCAAAAATACATATCCTCAGAAGCATCTGATTCCACGAAATTATCCTCACACAAAACTCAGTCATCTGGCTAGGAGCAGTGGCTCACACCTGTTATCCCAACACTTTGGGAGGCCGAGGAGGGCAGATCACCTGAGGTCAGGAGTTCAAGACCAGCCTGGCCAACATGGTGAAACCCCATCTGTACTAAAAATATACAAAAAAATTAGCCAGGCATGGTGGTGCACACCTATAATCCCAGCTACTCAGGAGTCTGAGGCAGGAGAATCACTTGAACTCAGGAGGTGGAGTTTGCAGTGAGCCGAGATTGTGCCACTGCATTCCAGCCTCAGGGACAGAGTGAGACTCCATCTCAAAACAAACAAACACCTCAATCATCCTGAGTGCTTTTGTGGCCCTAGTTAGTATAGGATGTAAGACCTTTGGAAATGCACAAGAATCAGAACAGACTGGAAAATAATAAAAACAGGCACGCTGAAAAAGACTCACTGCTTTTGCTTCCTTACAAAAGAATGCGCTCAGCACAGTTGGGAGGCTGGGAGAAGGAGCGGCAGCTGCAATGAGGCTGCACAGCCATGCACTTGATTGGCTTTCGCAATTTCAAGAGCTAAAGTCAGAATCAGAATCTGCTTCAGATTTTAATTCAGCATGTAAAAGGCTAGAGAGATGTTTCTGAAAGTGAGTCTGCAATAATAAATCAATGGGACACAGGGAAAATATTCTAAATAGGCAACATTTTGCCATTGCTGAAAATTTAAATATCTCTTCCTTTCTACTGTGCCAAGATAAAGGGCTAAGAAAGAAATCCCAAGCTAATGGCAGAGAAGACTAATGTATTGCCTCCCAAGACTAAGCACAGAACACACGATCTCACCCTGCTCAGCCACAGACAGGCAGATAAATGAAAATGCATCTTTTTTTGTCTGAACTCTTGACATAGCATCTGTGAAGATAAGCATCTCTAATATTGATTCCCTATTCAGTAGGACTTCAGGGAAGAAGAAGAAAAAAAAAAACCCATCAGTGGCTGAACCAACCACTGCAACCCTATGTTTCTGGGTTGGGTTGTTTGAGTCCCTGGTGAAATGTCTGTAAGTTCTGAGGCCACCCATCACACTGACCAAAACATCAGAGACCAACTCTGTTTTTATCGTTGTGCATTCAGTAAAGTTCTTATCAGCAACTTTCTCTTCTCCATTGGTCCCCTGGATCTCAGAGGGATCCCGGGGTTGATGTGAAATTAGGCACGAGGGAATTCTTCTTAGGTAGCAGCCAGCCCACGTTACTCTGGGCTGCCAGATACAAGTCGGTGGCTCTATTTGGGGACGCCATAGCAGGGCTGGAATTCGGCATTCTGAAGACACATTTAATGCCAAAGCCAGTCTTCTGTGACTATGGTCTATGGATTTGTTATGTGGGTCCCAATGAGAAGGGCCCTGGCTTTGTTCTACAAACAGAACCTGATAACCACAGCGTAAGCTCGATGCTAAAAACCAATTCTCCCGTATTAGGATGGCTGACACTTTCAGCCAGAACTGCTGGAGAAGTGTCTCTATGGTGGGCATTCAGATCTTCCCCTTTCATCATCAGAGGCACAGCCTCATGGTCCCACCTCTACTAACAGCCCCTGTGGCTCTACGTTAGATCAGTTGCTACTGAGTCTCATGCAGGATCCACGAATTACAGGGAATTTTTAGCATCACACTAAAATGGCTCCAAGCTCTGACTTTCAAGTATTTATCTTTAGCAACTGTACTTTTGTAGTGCTCGTTCCTTTTTTCTTATTTGTTGCTATATAGGTACGTGCAGAGGTGGAAGGGGTAGTTCCCTTCAAGTCTCGTAATTAGTTCACCTGTAGTTGTTTGGGCTGGCACAGTGGGGTATTTTCTGGGTCTGTGTTATGTCAAAGGCAGGGCTTTATAGGTAACCTAAGCTGTCTTTTTTTTTTGACACGGAGTCTTGCTCTGTCGCCCAGGCTGGAGTGCAGTGGCGCGATCTCGGCTCACTGCAAGCTCCGCCTCCCGGGTTCACGCCATTCTCCGGCCTCAGCCTCCCGAGCAGCTGAGTCCCTGGTGCCCGCCACCATGCCCAGCTAATTTTTTCTATTTTTAGTAGAGACGGGGTTTCACCATGTTAGCCAGTATGGTCTCGATCTCCTGACCTCGCGATCCACCCACCTCGGTCTCCCAAAGTGCTGGGATTACAGGCGTGAGCCACCGCGCCCGGCCGCCACCACCATTTTTTCATACACACTCCCCTCTGCACTGCTAGGAAGCGCTCTGTTTTATGGTTGTTCCTGGTTTACACTATAATACATCTTCCAGAGCAATGTTAACACCTATCCATTTGTTACTTCAATGGGGTGTTTGTTACTGAACACTTGTTATGCCTGTTAACACGGGTATAACAGAATCCACCACTGCCACGGGTTCAGTGGGTGGGCTTCCCACCAGTGACTCTCCAGCGGCTTAAGACAGCTGCGCCGTTGCAGCCGTCACAAAAATCAGCATAGGATTCCAGAGTGCAGCAGAATATCTTCTGTCCTTGAGAATATTTGCTGGTGTTGCCATCTGGCCAGGAAAGAACATAATTAGGCTTGACCTGCCATGATTTTCTAAGTGCTGTATAGAATTAAGCACAGACCACAATTCCCGTGCCAAACCATATTCACCCATGATTCTTCCAAGAATCAGGCAGCAAATCCAAACTTTGATATTTAAAGATGCAGCAACCTAGGCCAAAAGAGAGAGTGTCTAAGTTTCACTAAATCCTGGAGCAAGAATTTGGCAGGTCCTGGAAGAAGGTGAAACAGAGAGGGCTTCCTCTAGCTTCATGCACGATCATCTGCCAGGGCATCTCTTTGAGCCTTTCTTTCCTATTCTTGACGATTTTCTAAAAGGGATGCTCTTCGCGCACTTGCCTTCAACTTGATGGCAAAAGACATCAGAGTAAAACCCTTTTCCTTAGTCCCATTTCATTCTCAGCCTTGCCCCTGTTTATAGGTCTTTAGGAGGACTTGGGTCCTGGGCAGACCATCCCATCAGTAGAATGCACGCATGAAGCGTGGATGAAGAGCTCTTGGTTGTAATCCAAGAAGGAAATGCAGGCTGATCCAAGGAAAGAGGTGTGATTGGAAGGATTTGAAGAACTCATTGAACTGGGAGTGAGACTAGAGAACTACAGGCAGAAGATGAGCAGGAGCCGAGGTCTAGGTGGCAGGAGAGACAGCTGAGGTCCCACAGTCACAGCCAGGACACTGCTGCTGGCCCCATACCACTGGATGCTTGCTGCTGCTGCTGGAGCCTGGGTCAGCTCTGCGGATCACCACCTGCCCTGCCAGGGTGCGCTGCCTCTGTGGATGCTGAGGACCAGACAAGGGCTTCCAATCAGCTGGGTCTAGGTCAATGAGTCGGTGCCCCACTGCCTGAGGGCAAGAGAGGGAACATTTGGCCCTGCTCGGGTGTCATACTGCCTTATCTACTGGATGGGTGAGTGCCCAAATCAGCAAGCGGTTCAGAGGATGGTCAGCCAACAGATTAACAAACAAATAATCCAACAACGCGCAAACATCCAGAACAGATGCTATTTAAGAATGAGGACAGCTAACGTTTCAAGGAGGATCCACCCTGCTCCTGAGTGACCCTGGTTCTGTGTGTTTGGGTCTGGGTCTGCTCATCTATAAAGTATAGCTAATGAAACCTATATTTTAAGAGTTTATGTGAGAATTAGAGATACTGTAGATAAATTACCCTGAGAAGGAACTCCAACAGGTCAGCAAAAAAAAAAAAAAAAAAAAAAAAAAATCGGTTTTTAAAACATTTTTATAATTTTTTGATAGAGATGGGGTCTTGCTATGCTGCCCTTGCTGGTCTTGAACTCCTGGCCTTAAGCAGAGGTGAATTCTTGGCCATATGTAGGGTGCCCACAGCTGCACAGAAGTCAGATAGGATGAGGAGATAGAACCTGGAGTGACGAGCACTGTCACGGTAAGCCAAGACTCTAGAATATGGGATATGGGGTTAGGAGATGTGTGCTAGGTGCTGTTTCTTATACTTTTTCAGCGGATGCATTTAATCAGGGAGAAGTCACACATATGGGGCATCAATTTCTCTTTTTTTGTTGTTGTTTTGAGATGGTGTCACACTCTGTCGCCCAGGCTGGAGTGCAATGGCAGGATCTCAGCTCACTGTAACCTCTGCCTCCCAGGTTCAAGTGATTCTCCTGCCTCAGTCTCCTGAGTAGCTGGGATTACAGGCCCACACCACAATGTCCAGCTAATTTTTGTATTTTTAGTAGAAATGGGGTTTCACCATGTTGGCCAGGCTGGTCTCGAACTCCTGACCTCAACTGATCCACCCACCTTGGACTCCAAAAGTGCTCGGATTACAGACGTGAGCCACTGCACCTGGCTGCATCAATTTCTCTGCTGTTGAGAGAGAGACAGACAGAGACAGAGAGAATTCCAGCTCTGTTTATGCTACACAGCTGTTGCTAGGACCAAATAAGATAATATGAGGAGCTACCAACTGGTAGGCAAATGCTCTTCATTATGTTGACCACTTAAGGTCCCTTCTGAGAATCCATTATTTATTCTGGGTCTACGGAACACTGACTATGATGAGGGTGCTAAGGCTGCTGGCGAGGGTCCTCCTCGGCCAGCTTCTCCTAGCAGCAGGGCACGCACAGCCCTGTTTTCTCATCTGCTTTCAGCAGCATTTGCCTCCTACTCCACTTGGGTCACTCAAGGGTCCCAAAATAGACCTGTGCATTCATGGGACCCCTCCCACCTGCCTCTCTGCTCAGTGTCTCTGTTGGGACAGGCAGCAAGTGCTTAAATCCCAGCCACTGCTCCCCGCTGGAGTCCACCTGAGAACTTTCCCAGCAATTTGACAGAACAACAAGGCACCAGTTACACTTCTCTATCATCTATTGCCAAGCTACAATGGGCCAGGCACTGTACTAAGCACCTTATATGTGGGGTATCATCTCATTCTCATAATAATTCTGCAAGGTGGATAGAATTATGTTTCCAAGTTTCTAGGAGAAGTAGAGACTTATTTAGATTAAATAGCTTGTCTAAAATGTTCCGGCACTACATGAGTCCAGGTAATGAGTCCAGGCCTGAGTCTTAACCACTGTGTGGCGTTCGGCCAAGAAATTCGATAGTCACCAACTTCATTTCTTCCTTAGGAAAATAATTCCATACCGTGGCCCATCATTTCTCCAAAGGATCTTTTAACATATCTTTTTCCGTTCCCCCTTCCTTTTTGAGCAAGAAGCATTTTTTATTTTATTATTTATTTATTTATATTTTACTTTAAGTTCTGGGATACATGTGCAGAACGTGCAGGTTTGTTACATAGGTATACATGTGCCTTCATGGTTTGCTGCACCCATCAACCTGTCGTCTAGGTTTTAAGCCCCAAGTGCATTAGGTACTCATCCTAATGCTCTCCCTCCCCTTATGCTCCTTCCCCCTACAGGCCCCGGTGTGTGATGTTCCCCTCCCTGTGTCCATGTGTTCTCACTGTTCAACTCTCATTTATGAGTAATAATATGTGGTGTTTGGTTTTCTGTTCCTGTGTTAGTTTGCTGAGAATGACGGCTTCCAACTTCATCCATGTCCCTGCAAAGGACATGAACTCATTCTTTTTTATGGCTGCATAGTATTCCATGGTGTATATGTGCCACATTTTCTTTATCTAGTCTATCATTGATGGGTATTTTGGTTGGTTCCAAGTCTCTGCTACTGTAAATAGGAGGTGCTTTTTTACTGATTCCTTTCGACTCTTATTTCCTCATGACCTGTAAAAATATGTGTCAATATTGAGAACACAGAAAGTTAGGCTTGACATTTCACCCTGAAGCTGCTGTCATTTTAATTATCTGGCACATTCATAGAAAAACATCCCAGAGATGCCTGACTTTACTTTTCATCTGTGGAGATACTGTTGGATTGTTTAAGCATTAAAATCTCAGAAACAGAAATGCTACTTAGGTTGTATAACCCTACGTGGCTTAATAGACTCATGGATCTCCTTAATTTGCTCTAATTAAAAGTGCCTTTTAAATTGATAAAAACAAAAAGTTTTGTTGAGAATTGTTCTTTTAAAACTGGCAAAAGCTGGCCGGACGCGGTGGCTCACTCCTGTAATCCCAGCACTTTGGGAGGCCGAGGCGGGCGGATCAGGAGGTCAGGAGATCAAGACCATCCTGGCTAACATGGTGAAACCCCGTCTCTACTAAAAATAGAAAAAATTAGCTGGGCGTGGTGGTGGGCACCTGTAGTCCCAGCTACTAGGGAGGCTGAGGCAGGAGACTAGGTTGAACCCGGGAGGCGGAGCTTGCAGTGAGCCGAGATTGCGCCACTGCACTCCAGCCTGGGCGACATAGCGAGACTCCGTCTCAAGAAAAAACAAACAAACAAACAAACAAAAAAAAACTGGCAAAAGCCAGGTGGGGTAGGCAGGTTTCTACTGATCTAAAATGTAACTACTGAAACTACCTGAATTCCAGCCTGACTGTTGAGATTGCACAGACTGGCCAAGTGGAACAGAGAATAGGAGAAAGAGAGAAAAGAAAAGATGCTTTCTGAGTGAGTGTTTGCTCAGCTGAAAGCATGGTGTGATTTTTGGAAATATTCATTCACGCTAGGATTACTTTTAGCCAATCCATTCAAAGAATAGTGGTGTTTTTGCTGGAATTGATGTAACACCTTTGGAAAAGTAAGTAACAGGGTCCTTTGCACCTCAGAAAGTGCATTACATCATGAGATACTTGGTGAACTGTAAATCAAATCATGTATTGATTTACAGGATGCTCCGAATGCATGCTCACCTGGGCCGCCTATTGATAATAGAGTCTACTATGTTGATGGTTGCTAGAGTCACCATCCCAATACTGATGGAGTAATGACATCTTCATTATTCTCGCCCATGCTCTCTTCCCTTCCCCTCCGAAACTTCTCCTAATGAGGCAGGATGGTTACGTAGTAAATCTAACCCTGTCACACAACCGAAACGCCCTGTTGGAAGTTTCAGACAGAAATCACACAGGCTGCTGCATGACGGCCATTTATGATTTCTCAGACTTTCCTCCAGTGCTTTCTTTTCCCGGTGTGTGCGTGACATTTCTATCATGTGGCATTCTCAGCACATGTGTCAGGCTTCACCCTAAACAAGCCTGCTGGTGTATGATGATAAATAGTGCCACGATCTGCAGCGATTCCCACCCCTCCACATCCTGGCAAAGGTCTCCTAGCAACTGTTGTTATGGGCAACACTAGCATGTTTAGTTCAATTCAGTGGCTACGGGCCATTTCTGGTCTCCTGATGGAGGTTCAAGTCTATGCCCTGGAGATTCGGATCCCCTCACAAATCCACATGCCCATTATAACTTCCCTTGTACCTGCATAACGTTTAACCATTATTATTAAATTTGTCCGTTCAGCAAGATTGAAACTGCCATTCGGAAGCTATTGCACCTTCCACACAGGCAGTGAAAAAGGACTAACATCTGAATTTCGCTACAAGGTAACATTCGGCTTCATTCTCTTTCCTGTTTAATATTCACAACCTTAACTTTAAAATGGTTTCCAAACTATGGTGTGTGGTATAAAAACAAAAAGTAAGAACAGAAGGAAAAAAGTCCATTATTAAGCCCCTGCTGGGATCCCTTTCTCTTTAATGCACTTCAAAAAAAAAAAAAAAAATTCCGGGCAATTTTGTATTCAGATGCATCAGCAGAACCAGGCTGCAAATGTCTGCATTGGTGGATTACATCACCCCCTACTGATTGATCCTTTTAATGGCTCAGCATTTTGCAAATGAAGAAGCAGTTACCTCTGTTCTGTTGGCTATTAATTCCATCTACATAGGGTTCTGCTGGTTTAATGAGCATTGAATATCTTCCATCAAAATGCAGTGCTTTCAAGGGATGTAATAAAATAGCCTATGTTAAAACTGGCCTATAAAAGTAGCTTATAATAAAATAGCCCAGCTAATGTAAAATTTAATTCCTTCACTATATTTATGAAATAGGCAATCAGTCCTCATTCAGAGAAAATGGAATGTACACCAAGCAAAATCAGCTTTGACCTGATCTCTTTAAACTCAATAGTAACTCAGTTGGAACCATCTGAACTTGTTTTTTGAAAAAGCTTCTAGAACCTTTTTTGTGATTGTCAGCATTTTCAGGACAACTTTGTATTCAGGTGAGCCTGATTATTCAACACTAAGATTTCCATTTGGCATGAAAGAGGTGTTTAAATTATGAGTTTATTTTTAATTCTTGGTTAAAAAGTAGTCTTCTATTCTTGGAAAGCAGAAGTACAATGGCTTGAAGGACAACTGTGCACTCAGGCATTGATCTTTAGCGTTTATACTTTATTAGCCAATACCGAATTCCACAGTGATTCTAATCCCCTTCTACAAAGCATTGGAGAGGGATTTGTTTTACCCTCCCTAAAAAAAAAAAAAAAAAAAAAAAAAAAAAAAAAAAAAAGAGCCAACTGAGAATTAAACAGAGGTGTTGCCAGGAACAGACATTACAAACATAAAATGAACAGAACAGAAGGGCTGTCTAGGAGTTTGTTGTCCATCTGCCCTACAGGATGGGAAGAGTGGCTGAGGACCCCAAGGCCACACATGCTGGGATTTCTGGGGTGATTTAGGAAGAGTGAGACCATCCTGAGGATCTCTTCTGTTTTCCTAAGCTGTATCACCACCAAGCTGCTTTGCCTGTAACACTGAGCTCAGGAGTAGGAGGAAACTGCTGTTTTCTAAGACAGTGCTGATGCTCTAGTGGATATCAGCCTGGAGGAGGACCTGTTGCCTAGCTCCATACTCACTACTCGAGGTACTTGTACCTATTGTCTCAAGCTAAGTACACCAGGCTTGAGACCTCAGACATGTAGGAAAAAATAACCACTTCAAAAGAGAAAAGGGTTAGCCAATTCTGAGAAAACAGAGTCCACAGATTGGATATTTATTACCATCAGGGATCGTATGGAGCATGGGGATGAGAAGAACGTCCAAAGATGAGGGCTTTCTTTATTCCCCAAGTGTTCTTTTCCAATATGTTGTTAGATCTATCTAGTACACCTAAAAGTCAGACGCTAACTCAAATCAGAAGCATTCCTCAAGCTAATTTTATTCTCACAAATCTCTAAGGGACTGCATTATTATATTAGATTTTGCAGATATTTCTTACACGTCGTTGCTAAGGATGTTGGAGACATTTGGTGATAGATAGCCCGCAGGTATAAGTAGTATATTAATGGTAATAAAAAATGACAAAAGTCCAATAAAGACATACAAAGGATAACTTTTGTGTTCACATTGTTCTTTGTAAGGATTTAAACCTATGCCTCTAGTGCATGACCTCTGAACAAAATTACAAAGTAAAACAAGGATAAGGAGGCAATAAATGCCAAATTAAGTCACGATAGATGGAACACAAGAGGGACCCTGTCCTTCGTACAAATAATCTGAAACGAAACAACTAATACTCCAAGACTTTTCATGGGGAGGTCAGACAGGGAGTCAGAAGTCAAAGAGATTGCTGGTGAGAGTGAAAATGGTGCATTCACTGTGGAAAGGAGTATGAAAGCTCCTTAAAAAATTAAAGATACAATTACAGTATGATCCCACAATTCCACTTGTAGATATAGATCAAGAGGAATTAAAAACAATGTCTCCAACAGATATTTTGAGACACCATGCTCATGGAAGCATTATTTATAAAGGGTTAAAAGGTGGAAGTAAACTTTGTACCCATTATAGATGAATGGATAAATAAAATATGGCATCTGTCTGTCTATCTATCTGTCCATCCCTCCATCCATTCATCCATCCATCCATACACACACACATGCTGGAATATTATTCAGCCTTAAAAAGGAAGGAAATTCTGACCTATGCTACAACACAAATAAACCTTGAGAACATTATGCTGAATGAAATAAGCCAGTGATATAGTTTGGCTCTGTGTCCTCATCCAAATTGTAATCCCCATAATCCTCACGTGTCGAGGGAGAGACCTGGTGGGAGGTGATTGGATCATGGGGGCGGTTTCTCCTGTGTTGTTCTTGTGATAGTGAGTTCTCATGAGGTCTGATGATTTTGTAAGTGTTTGACAGTTCCTCCTTCAAATGCTCTTTCTCGCCTGCCACCATGTAAGATGTGCCTGCTTCCCCTTCTGCCATAGTTTCCTGAGGCCTCCCCAGTCATGCGGAACTGTGAGTCAATCAAACCTCTTTTTTTAAATAAATTACCCAGTCTCAGGCAGTTCTTTAAAGCAGTATGAAAATAAACTAATACAACCAGTCATAAAAAGGCAAATATTATGTGAGTCCATGTATATGAGGTGCCTAGAATACGGTGGTCAAGTTCATAGAGACAGAATGTAAAATGGTGGTTGCTAGGGACTAGGGGAGGGGGATGGGGAGTACTTATTTAACGGATACAGAGTTTCAATTTCAGAAGACAGAAAAAAAAGAAAAACTTCTGGAGATGGTGGTTGCACAACTATGAATGTACATTCACACTGCTATTAAACTGAACACTTAAAAATGGTTCAAATGACACTTTGTTATGTATATATTACCACAATTAAAAAAAAAAAAAGGAGTAGTCAGCCCCAGGACTGCAATCTAATTACATTCAAATAGGCATTAAGAAGAAATGGGCCCTCAGTTGTATATCTAAAATAAAAGTGATCATCAGTATCTTCTTCTCAACCTGTGGTCAAAGGCCTTCTTCTTTATCAATGAATGTACACAACTCCACCTTGAAAGCTCAGAGAATAACAATTGACTTTGGGATATTAATGGCTAATTTTCCCCAAAGGTGAGGGAGCAAGAAGACATATGACCAAATCAATTAGCCCCCTTAATTAGTATGAATTAAGTCTTGCTTGAAAGAAAGCAAATGGAACAGAACACAATCACTTTAAGAAAAGGCAGGAGGAGTTGTAATAATTGCTACCATTCCCTAAACACCTCAGATGCTACCCTGTGCTAGGGGATCATCCTCACTGCTGTTCACCAGCCTTGCCAGACTTCCACCCCCTTCCAGGCGCCAGAATGCCTTCCCTCTGGCCCCCTTGTGGTTAGGTGGAACCCAGTGACTAGCGTCTAACTAATGAGCTGTAAGCAGAAGCAACAAGTGTCAGTTCCAAACTGAAGCATCTCATTGCTGGTGCAAGATCCCAGCAATCTATGCGGATTACATTGCCTGAGATGGGGGCTCTTGTATCCACATGAGGAGTCATGGTAGGCATTTGACATTTAAATATGACATTTATATTATAATTTGATGTGATATTTAAAGGTAGTTATAAACCACTAAGATGGGGGATAATTTGTTACCATGTTTTAGCCTAGCCTACTTTTACTACAAAACGAAATGAAAAACCAACCTAAACACTGAACTGGGCACATTACCTATATAATCTAAAGTCCTACAATGAACCTGCAAGGAAATATTACATATCCATTTTCCAGATGAAGCAACTGAATCTAAAACATCACACCCAGGAAGGCAGCACTTAGAATCAAATACAAATTCGTCTGACTCCAAAACCTGTGCTCTTTCCGCAGTAATACTGAGTTCTCTTTAATGTTCAGGCTTACTTTGACCATTAAGATGCACCATGAGTCATTTCCTGCCACCTCTAAATGGCTATAATGCTCTTTCTCCTCAAGCAATAAAAGATGATTTCTCTGCCTCACTTTACTAGCCTCTAATTAGGCACGATCTTTCTGGAAGTACAGTCTCCTTTGGTCAGCAAAGACCTTCTGAGCTCTTACATCCCTTGAATATGGAATCTTGCACAAAAGCCTCAGGCTCTTAGTTTTCAAGCTGTGAAATGGGAGTACTAATGACTCATCACAAGCTTGCTCATGGACATTGCACAACCACACTTACGCTTGGGTCCCCAGGAGCAAGTGAAGCCATGGACCTTTCTTAGGCTGCTTGGGCTGGGATCAGTGGCAGTGGAGGACATGGGTCACAGGTCAGCATGGGAGGAGAGCATAGGCACCGGCCTTAGGTCTCCGGGTTCGTTGGTGAGGTATCAGCTCTGAGGTATGGGCAGGTTATTTGTCCTTTCTATAGTTTCCTCTTGTGCAAAATGCGGATGACCAAGGGATTGCTTTGTGAAGGAAGTTAGTTCAAACAAATAAAACACTGAGGGAGTAAGGTAGAGAGGAATGTCTAGAGTATTTGCAGCATTCAAAGAGAGGAAAATGCTTTCCAGAAGCTGCTCAAGTCCTGTTGTGGGCTGAATTGTATCTCCCTTACCCCCCAAACTCATCTGTTGAAGTTCTAATCCCCGCTACCTCAGAACGTGAATGTATTTGGAGACAGGGTCATTAAAGAGGTAATTAAGTTAAAGGAGGTAATTAGGGTGGCCCTAATTCAATATGGCTGATGTCTCTGTAAGACGAGGAAATTTGGACAGACATTGCAAGACCATGTGAAGACCCAGGGAGAAGACAGCATCTACTAGCCAAGGAGAGAGGTCTCAGAAGGAATGGACCCTGCTAACACCTTAATCTCGGACTGCTGGTCTCCAGAACTGTAATAAGTTTTTGTTGTTTAACCCTCCCAGTCTGTGGTGCTTTATTACGGCAGCCCAAGCAAACTCATACAAGCTCCTTCCAGTGCGGGGAGCCAGACCAACTCTGAAAACCCTCGTTGGATGCTGAGGCTGGGCCACTTAGCCGGCTGTGCCTGAAAGAGGACACAGCAGCACAGCAGCCACACAGAACCTCCCTCCGTCATCTGCCTTTGCCATCATCATTCCAAAAACTGAGGCAAAGGAGACTCAAGGGCTGTCTGCCCTGCTACTGCGAGGGGCTCCTCAGATGCTCCCATTCCCAAAGACTGATGTGGTCCCAGATTCAGCAGGAACCTGCTAGAGAAACTCCATGTCAATGCTTGGTTTCTTGTTGAATCAACCCAGATTTCTCAGGTCCAATTAAAGAATTAGGTCTTCAATTTAGGAGGGTTACAGAGAGATGGGGGCAAAATCAATTTATCAAGAAGAACCTTTATATCACAACTAAGCACAAAACCTAATGTCACTAGCCTCAGGAAAGTACTTTATGAGCACCTACACAGATCCAAGAAGTGGTAGTACAGAAATAAGAAAACACACATACACACACACACACACACACACACAAGTGCACGCATACACACTTTCATGCACTCATACACAATCACACATATATACAGGCACACACAAACACACATACATATGCACACACATACACATGCATGCACTCATATGCAATCACATGTGGACGTATATGCACACACATGCATGTATTTACACAATCACATATGTACACACATGCATGCTCATACATATACACACATATGTGCGCACACACACGCACATACAGCCTTAATGCCACTGATACAATAGTGAACTATAAGTAATTAAGTTACTTTGACTAAACACCAGGTCTGCCAGGAAAAAGTGTTTAACGCCATCCCCAAAGGACGTTGTGGCGCCAAAAGCAAGAAAGGGAGGTTAGGTCCCGCCTCGGTGGAAATACAAAAGAGAGAAAACGCGGAGATAGTGAGAGACTAAACACAGGAGAAGAAAGATTGTGCTTCAGGTGGAAGGGGAGGGAGTGTGAGACAGGAAGGGAAGGGGTGCCCAGGGACCCAGGCAAGGAAGGGGTAATCACCCGGTAGTGTAGCTGCGTTGTGTGAACATGGGCACGGTTAGAGGGAGTGGGCTTCCCTGAGGGGTATATCAAGCTCTAGA
This sequence comes from Homo sapiens, assembly GCF_000001405.40. NCBI lineage: Eukaryota > Metazoa > Chordata > Mammalia > Primates > Hominidae > Homo > Homo sapiens. Next base: position 14,247,002 of record NC_000010.11, read on the forward strand.
ATATTTTTTCTTCACAGGAGGTTTTTAAAGATGACCTAGATAGTTCACTTCCCTTTCTGTACAGGTGGGACTCGCAAGCTCTTCTAGCGCGTGCACCAATCTGGGTTGGAGCATCACATAAACCACCTCTCAGCTCAAACTTGCCGATCCCCGCTGGCCACACAGGGAGACTAGTGACCCAAAGACCAGTGGGAGACTGTGATGGCCATGCCCAGAGTCACCCCGCTTCCATCCTGGTGGAAGTCAGTTTGCCATCTACACAACTAGAGATAGACATTCAGTTACAGCCCAGATGGTCCTCACTGTTAAAGCACTGTGCCTGAGGAACTAGATTCAAACCTCTGGCCCTGGAATATAGACATTTACACGGTGCCCAGAACAATGGCAAATTGAAAATGCAGCTCATAGCACCTGTCAAAAGAAATAAGATCACATTAAAATTCTTGCCATTTCCTTTTTCTGCTAAACTAGGTAGGTTAACATACAGATAGGCCTCTCTCTCTCTCTCACTCTCACTTTCTCTCTCTCTTTCTCGCTCTTTCTGTCTCTCTCTTCACTCCACAGTCAGTTTTCTGGAGTGTGGCCCAAAGATCCATATGTCAAAACCTGGCAGAGGAAGCTGATACCAAAACCACATTTATTCTTTTCCTTTAAAAATGGCTTGGGAAATTAGCCCCTACATTTAGGGAAGTCCGAGTGAAGAAGAGGGAAGAGAGGGGAAGGCCTTACGGGGCACAGGACCCGCTCTGATTGTTGGAAGTCTCAGCCTTGGCCCAAAGCCCAGCCTCTGTCCTCTGCTTAAATTGAGTGTGAGGGAACAGGATTATCTTGGTTGTAATTTTTAAAATGCTTCCAAGCATTGTATAAAAGTCAGAGAGCTCTGTTGGACCTTCACACGAAACAGCATTTTCGTAAGTTAAAAAAAAAATTGGAAACAAACGACTCTACATGGCCAAACCTCATCCTAAGCCAAATGACAAAATAAGTAGTTTGCCTTCTGTTCCCTCTGTTCTCAAACCTTCCTGCTGTCCCTACCCCTGGCACCTCAGCGGGTGCTTCTCTGTTGCTTCCCTCAGCTGCCCAATTCCCCACGTAACATGAGCTAGCATTAATTGAGCACCTGCTGTATGGTAGGCAGAGGCATAAGTGCCTTGTAAACATCACATTTTTATTCTCTCACAACTTTATGAGTTAGAAAACTAATCTGCCCAAATATAAGGAGACCCATCTTCTCCAATGAGAAGTTCTCCCATCAACACTTTAAAAAAATCCGATTGACTATATGAACTCAAAGATATAAATAAAACAAATATGACTTAAAAAATTTAATTCCGTTGCACATGCATATTTAAAACCACATACTATCTAAATAATACATTAATGTAGAAATAGTGCCTTTTTCCAGTCTTACATATTACAGAATTTTATTCATCAATGTGTTCGTTATCTCTAGAGCCAATTTTAGAGTCATTCAATTCATTTTTTACAGGACATATCACCTTCATTTCCCTCTGAATTGTTTGAGATGTGGCACACTGTCACTGGAAATTTTTTCCCAAGCTGTAAATGAATACACATTAATATCACATTAGGACAGATGTTTTATTTATTCATGCTATTGGTGTATATCAAGGAGTTCTACAATATAACTATTTACCTTATTGCTTTTTAAAGGAATCTTCACAGGGTTTGTTTACAATGGCCTCCAATGCTTGCATTCATGAGGTCATATTCCAAGGAATAATTGCTAAATGGGTTCAATTCATTTGCCTCCTTTCTGTTCACTGATTCTGTCAGAAAACCTCAGTAAGCACTCCAAACAAGCACTGATGGAAGTCCTTTCAGGCCAGTGTTTTTTCCTTAAACAATTCCATGTTTGTCAAGTTAAACTAAGTGAGACAGCATCCCAAGGTTTGAAACAATTGGTAAGGATTCTTTTATTTGGAAATGCCTTCTTTTCTAAGGTAGAATTTTGGTAAAATCACTTGCACCTACGTTTTGACATACGTGATGACTTTAAGTCCCTTTTACAGATGACAAAACTGAGGTTCAGATATTAAAATAACCGGCCGGATGCAGTGGCTCATGCCTGTAATCCCAGCACTTTGGGAGGCTGAGGCGGCTGGATCACCTGAGGTCAGGAGTTCGAGACCAGCCTGGCCAGCATCGTGAAATGTCATCTCTACTAAAAAATAGGAAAATTAGCCAGGTGTGGTGGTGGGCACCTATAATCTCAGCTACTCAGGAGGCTGAGGCAGGAGAATCATTTGAACCCGGGAGGCAGAGTTTGCAGTGAGCTGAGATCCTGCCACTGCACTCCAGCCTGAGCGACAGAGCAAGAATCTGTCTTAAAAAAAAAAAAAGAAAGAAACAAATAGATATTGAAATAACTTTCCTAAAATCAAAGAACTAGTGTTTGTGTGAAATGAAGCTGGGGCCAGAGGCCAGGACTGTCTTACTCTAGGGCCCACATGCTGAAGCCCCAGTCTGCACTGCCCATGCCACCCCAGTGTCCATCTCCTCATGTCCAATTCTGCAGCCGCTTCCCTTTCCAGAACTTCAGTCAGTGCTGCTCTCAGCATCCATAACAATGTCTATTTCTTCTACCGACCCAGAAATTTCACTTACAGGAATGTCACTGAAAGAAATCCTCATAGATATGCAAAACAATTTAGCACAAGGATATTCATGATAGCATTATTCTTAAGGGAAAAAACTTGGAAACAAAGTAAACGTTCCCGATAAGGGATGCATCAACTAAGGTGTAGGTACAGGATGGAAGACAAAGCAGTCATTCACGAAATCCTAAGTGGAAAAAACGAGAGGTTGCGTAAAATAATTCTAGTTTTACTTTTTAATAAAAGTATATATGTGTCAAAAAATAGGAAAGAAACACAACAACATATTAATGTAGTTACTCTTCAGGTGATGGAACTAAATAAGATTATTTTCTTGTTTTTACTTTATTTATTTATTTATTTATTTGAGACAGAGTTTTGTTCTCGTTGCCCAGGCTGGTGTGATCTCGGCTCACTGCAACCTCCACCTCCCGGGTTCAAGTGAATTCTCCTGCCTCAGCCTCCCAAGTAGCTGCGATTACAGGTGCGTGCTACCACGCCTGGCTAAGTGTTGTATTTTTAGTAGAGATGGGGTTTCACTATGTTGGCCAGGTTGGTCTTGAACTCCTGACCTCAGGTGCTCTGCCTGCCTCGGCCTCCCAAAGTGCTGGGATTACAGGTGTAAGCCACTGTGCCTGGCCTGTTTTTACTTTTCTATTCCTCCTCCTCATAAAAACTGTGCCCATTTCAAAGGAATAACTTCAACAATGAGAATTTGGGAGCAAAGAAAGAGGAAGCATAGAATAGCAGGAGAAATACCTGGTGAAAATGGCGTCTTGTTTTATAAGCTGTTGCCTCCTCTACTTTTTACAAAGGTGTTGCCCTATAAAAGGATTTTCCAATTAAGGGGAAAAGATTAAGGCTGTAATCCTGGGATGTTATCAAGTCTATAATCTGTTTGGTCTCTCTATTACAACTGCCCAGGTATAAAAGCCTGTCTTGTAGAACCAACAAAGTGTGTAAACCTCTCAGCCATATGTCAGACCCTCTGTGGGGCCAAAAATCAAGCAAGCTCTTCTAGAGAATTAGCTAGTTCTCTTTTAACCCAGTCCTTGGCTTCAGGGCTGTGCTGGTGGGAAACAACAGATTTAGCAAAAACGACACATTTCCTACCCCCAGGGAGTCCAGCATGGGTTGCTGATGAAGACATGGGCACAGTGAGCAGAGAGGGAATGGGCAGTCTCAGGGGGAGGCCCAGGAGTCACAGCCAGGCACTTGCTGGTCTCTGGGAGTGATGTCCAGCACCTACAGGGCTAATAGTACCAGAATGAAAAACATAATACGAGGCCAATTTGTATTCATTGCCAGGAAGAAGCAAAGCTGCCTCTTAGAAAGTTAGCATTCCATGCCCCAGTTGCATAGTTTCTAGCTGTATTCAAAACCTGGCCTCTTTCAAGAGATCACAGTGCCCAAAGGGAACAGCCAAAAATATGCTCCCAGCCAGTACCTAAACTGTGTAGTAGGCAGCCTCAAGACAGCCCCCAATGACCCCACCTCTTGGTAGTTACTCCCAGTTTAACCCCTCTCTTTCAAAGTGGGATAAACTTATGGATTTGTTTCTAACTATTCAATAGACTATTAATTAGAAACAAATCAATACAGCAGAAGTCAAGGAGTGTCACTTCTGGGATTTGATTATAAAAAGATTTTAGTTTCTGTCTGGGGTGTGCTCTCTTTCCTTCTTTCTTGCTTTACTAACCCAGGGGAGGCCAGCTGCTATGTCATGAGGCACCTCTATGGGAGGTCCACATAGTGCTGAACGTAGGCCTACCAACAATGACAAGAATGATCTTGGAAGCAAATATCCCCCAGTTGAGCCTTCAGATGAAACTGCAGCCCCAGTCAAATGCGTCACTACAACCTTCAGGAATGATCTTGAAGCAGAAGTGTTTTGCTAAGCTGCACCCAATTTCCCATCCACAGAAACTGAGATACTAAATGACTGTTATCTCAAGCCACTAAGTTTTGGGACAATATGTGAGGCATAAACAGATAACTAATACAGACTCCAAATAAACACTTTGAAAGAGGAGTTCCAGGTGATATTAAGGAGTTTTAAAATAAGAAGTCTCTTTGAGTGGCTCAGGGTTTACGTGGGCCCTGGAGCCAGATTCCTGGGAGTTCATACCCCAGCTCCAACACTGATCAGGATGAACCCAGAGGCAAATTACTTAACCTCCCTGTCCCTTCATTTTTTGATGGGAAAATGGGAATAATATTGCTAGGTTTATGGGAGGAAGATCAAACGAGCATGTGTGCACACATGTGCACACACACACACACACAATTTAAAACAGAGCCTGGCAGAGAGTAAATGCTGTATATATGCTTATTATGATGATTATTAAAGCATGAGAATAGAAAAGAAGACATTAGTATCATACTATGTATTTTTAAGCTTTAAAATTTTATTGCATATATTTTATTTGAACAAACTATATTTATAGAAAAGTTTCAAGAATAGAAAAACGAATGTCCAATGCCCTTATCCTAGATTCCTCAAATGTTAACATTTTATTATGTTTGTTTCAGCCTTCTCTTTCTCCTTTCCTCTCCTAGTTTATTTTCAGGTTGATTTAAAGTAAAATGTATCCATAAATACTCCAGTGTGTCTTTCCAAAGAGTGAGAAATTTCCTTACCTAACTACAGGAAATTATCAAAATGAACATATGAACGTTGAAGCGATATTATCATCTAATCTACATATCTTGAGATTTTTGCCAATTGGACAAAAGGACATTATTAAGAATGTTCTTTACAGGAAAAGAAAATCCAAAAATCATGGGCTACATTTAGATTTCATG